>NC_000006.12:65943715-66246745 GCF_000001405.40 Homo sapiens
TCTCTAGAAATGAAAGGTAGAATTTTGCACAGCCTGCATGCAGCTGCCCCCTGGGCTCCCTTGGCAAGCCTCCACTCCACTGCATGCTCTAAAAGCCTCCAGCTCCACAGACACCCGGATTTTCACTGCATCCACATTACTGGTTGTTGATCTGCTCTTCCACCTGTACTCTAGAAGATGACCTACTGTTTGCTGAGCAACACCAGACCAACTCCAGTTTGACAAAGTCAGCCAACTCCTTTGCCATCCTGTGCTTCAAATCAAATATTCTTTAAAAAGACCTTAGTCTCTTCGAAGTTTGTCCTTCCTTGTGAATTCTCCCTCAGCCCTGGAGTACCATACAGATACCTGAGATACTTTATATGTTATAGTTACTCTTTTATCATAGTAACTATTATTTATATTAAACATCTCCTATTTAACTTATTGAGTAAATTTAGTTTCCAAATTGGATCTACATTGCTATGCTGTACATCCCAGATATGTCCTTCCTTCCTTCCTTCCTTTCATTCTTTCTTCCTTTTATTCTTTCTTTCTGCTTTCTTCCCATCCTTCCATCTATTCGTTATTCCTTCTTACCCTCTTTCTTTTTTCCTTGATTTTCATTTGGCTTTCTTTCTTTTCTTTTGATTTTCATCTGGAAGACTCTAGTAGAAAACTAGATGAAAACCATACATATGAAATTCTCACACAAAAAATACATTTGATCAATTATTTTATTAAAGACAATAAACCTTCACAGTATCCAAAAATGTAAATTACAAAACAAGTTTCTATTTGTCTGTTTGTGCAATCAAATAAAGTCACCACTAGCCATATATGGCTATTTAAATTTAAACTAAATAATATTAAATAAAACTGAAAATTTAGTTTCTTTGTCACATTAGTTATGTTTTCAGTGTTCATTAGCGATATATGATAACATATTGGAAAGGGAAGATCTAGAGCATTCCAATCTTTGTAGAAATTTCTATTGAAAATATCTGGTTTATAGTTGGCAGATAATTTTTTTCTTTTTTTTTTTTTTTTTGAGATGGAGTCCCACCCTGTTGCCCAGGCTGGACTCCAGTGGCACGATCTCAAATCACCCCAACCTCTGTCTCCTCCTGGGTTCAAATGAATGATTCTCCTGCGACAGCTTCCCCAGTAGCTGGGACTACAGGCATGTGAAACCACACCTGGCTATTTTTTTTTGTATTTTTAGTAGAGATAGGGTTTCACCATATTGGCCAGGCTGGTCTCAAACTCCTTACGTCAAGTGATCAACCTGCCTCGGCCTCCCAAAGTCCTGGGATTACAGGTGTGAGCCACCGTGCCCCTGCCTAGTTAGCAGATAATTAGAACAAATGTTAATTTTATTGTTAGAGAACATTTTATTATTTTACTTACAATAAAACTTTCTTATTTTTTGACTCAGCTTTTTTATTTCCACAAATTTTTGATGAGGAAATTGCTTTAAATTGTACAAAAAAATACATATTCTCAAAGACATATTATTTTGTAACATATAAATATATATTAACAAATAAATGACTTCAAATAGAAGATTGGTATAATAAATTATGATCAAATAGTGTGAGCTTATATGAAGCTACTAAATTAATTGGGTTATAATTTTAAATTCTGGTTACTTTATTCTCATGAGATGGACTTTTGGGCATACAAACTATAAATGTTTGCTTCCCATTAAACAGAAGTGCTTATGAATTTTTTTGTTTGCATTTGTCCCTGCAGTTACTTATAGCTTCCAGAGTAAAAGTACCACAGTACTAGATGTTACCTATAATAGTTAGTCCCCTGAGTAAAATTTAAACTTGATAAATGAGAATAAAATGTAGTGAAGAGAAACTTGTTATAGTTCATTAACTCACAAATCACAAACAAAATGTACTGCTTCATAGACTATTTAATATATTTTATAGAGTTGCATAACCTTGGATTAATAGTTGCTTCGCTTTCATGAAAGATGTTAGCTTACCCTTCTGGGTTGAGTTTCTCTTCCAGTAAATACTTTAGAAAATCTCTATGTCTTTAGGAAAACCTGGCCTCTGACCTTTGCTTTCATTTAAGCACAGCATTGTCTCTTCACATACACTCAATTGAACTCTTTGTTCCCTTTCTCCTTTCCATTATTGTCATCAATAACACTAGAAGCTCCCATCTTCGTTTTCCCAGGTAATTGAATTGGTGAATTATTTTCACATTAATCTGGATTTTTTAATGAACCTCCCCTTCAATGAAACTCCCAATCTTAATGGTTTTTTTTTATCTCTTTCCTGTAATTAAATTGGACATGATTTCTTAGAATCTTGAAAGTGGAAGATTGGAAAAGCACCGTTGCTTCCCATGAGGTCAATGAAGTTTAGTACACTTTATTTTTGCCAGTAAATTTCCACTTGTCTTCTTTTATACTCTTCTAAGAAACTGGAATTAATGAATGAGAGGATACTTTAAAAATCTTCCTTCTTTGCATATTCGCTTCCTCTAGCAGCAACCTGTGGTACAATAACACGCAACGAAGAGAAATTAAAAGGGGCTGTTTAAGTCATGAAATTTTATATTTTACACATTATAAAATGATTAAAACATATTTATGCCATTAATTTTAGAACTTTTGAGAGATTATCAACATATGATAAATACCCTTACATTGGTAGCTTTTATTTCAATTGTTAAGGGATGGTTTCCTGAAAAAATCACATAATTAATACTTTTTTTTCTTCTTTTTGAGACAGAGTCTCACTCTGTCACCCAGGATGGAGTGCAGTGCTGTGATCTCAGCTCACTGCAACCTCTGCCTCCTGGTTCAAGCGATTCTCCTGCCTCAGTCTCCCGAGTAGCTACAGGTGTGTGCCACCACGCCTGGATAATTTTTTGTATTTTTAGTAGAGACAGGGTTTCACCATGTTAGCCAGGATGGTCTCCATCTCTTGACCTCGTGATCCTCCCACCTCAGCCTCCCAAAGTGCTGGGATTACAAGAGTGAGGGGGCCAACCAACATAATTGATTGTTCTGTGATCATCTTTATCCAAATAAACAGTACCTGTCATGTTACAATCAGGAGTGTGGTGGAGTGGTCAGTAGCAGGAAAGAACAATGAAAAGTAAAGTAAATCAAAATATTGTATAAACAGGTATGCTATATAAACAGCAAGAAGACAGAACTTAGTGTTGCCTGGTAATGGTTAAGAAAATCTTCATAAGGAAGTTAGATTTCAGGTAAGTCTTCGAGGACAGATAAGGAATCACCAGGTGCAGAAAAGGAAAATTGCATTGGGTGACTTGGATTCAGGCCATAAGTGGTACATTTTCTGTAGAAATTTAAAAAACAATGATAAACCAGTTAAAAGTCAGCCTTATTTTAATTAAAAGCATATGTGAGCAATTCTAAGCAATGCTAATGATAAATTACTTCTCTCAGAGCAAAATATTTCATTTTATTTATTTATTTAGAGAAAGGGTCTGGCTCTGTCTCCCAGGCTGCAGTGCAGTGGTACAGTCATTGATCACTATAGCCTTGAGCTCCTGGACTCAAGTGATTCTCCCACTTCAGCCTCCTGAGTAGCTAGGATTACAGGCACATGTCACCATGGACCGCTAATTTTAGTGTTACTTTGGTAGACAGAGTCTCTAGCTATGTTGCCCAGGATGATCTTGAACTCCTGGCCTCAAATGATCCTTGTACCTCGGCCTTCCAAAGTGCTGGGATTACAGGTATGAACCACCACACCTGAGCCATTTATTTAATTTTAAACAGTGGCTGGTGCTGTGGTTACTTTTGAAGTTTTTTAGAAACATAAATGTCAGGTTAGCACATTTTATTACTTGTACTTTCACCAATATTTTTATTTTTTATAGATGTTAATTTGGAAAATTTCAAATAAATATATGATTAAGAGCATAAGATCAGAAATAATAGTATTGTTTGCGTGAGATGTAGAATGCAGTCAGTGATTTCAATTCTGTGTACTACATATATTTACTTTTCAACAGTAGATTCAAAAAATAATAATAGTTCACCATGTGAAAATTAAGAAACGGAACTTGAGTTACCTCAGTTCTTTCTACTTAGGCACTTGAAAATTTTAAATATGTTCACGATTTAGAAGACTGAAAAAGAACACAAAGTGTGACTTGCAACTTTTTTGTTTGAAAAGTACAAATTTAACTTATGCATGAAATAGTTTGATAAATTTAACCAAAATCTCTACATTGCAATTTACTTTGAAAAATTCCAATTGCTTTAACAACAAATAAACAAAATGATGAATGTTTCTAATTATTAAATTATTTTAATTAATAATAATTTTGTCATATAGAAGAAAGAGGTACAAAACTGATTTACTCAGAGTGTAAAATATGCTAGGTAAGCATGGAGGCATAACTCATCCAGGAAAATGTAAGTAAAATGGCGTGGCTGGGATACAGGATGCATATCACAATTTAGTTGAAAATGAGATTGTTACTAGTAGGCAAGAGTGATAAATTGATATTGTGTGCAAACCATAACTTTGCAAGCCTTCTCACTGATTGATTGCTTCATTTATTTATTCATTCCTTCAGTGGTTATTTATTGGGTCTCTATTATATTCTATGTATTTCACTTAGCACTGAGAGTATAGACATGAGCAAGAAAAACTCAGGGCCTGTTTTCACAGTTTATGTGGCTTAACTTTCAAAATCATGCAAAAGAGAAGCTGAACAATGACATAGTTGAAAACTACTAACTAAATATATAACAAATATTACTAATGAAAGCACTCATGCCATTCTACAAGTAGATTTTTATAGCATTTCTTCATACATATAAATATTACATAAAAGACCATTACATTTATTAAAATGCCAATTACTTTTATTTGTACTCTAGAATGGCTTTTTTTTAATTGCAAGGTTCATTTCTCATCTTGCAAATGTTACACAGATTGTAAGTTAGATAATCTAAACTAAATTTTTAAATGTTGTCTTAATTTTTGTAGGTTATCTGGGCTTTCAAATACAGTTACATGAGCCAGCCTCTCCTTGGCTTTTAAATAATCATTCTAAAGAATTTAAGAAAAAAGTCATATTATTATCTACACTATTGAACTTATTCATGTCAGAAAAAATACGATGTCACTTCAATATTTTCTAGTGTTTCCTAAGTATTTATTACAATTACTTCTAGGACCACCGAGGCTTATTCATCTACACAATGCCAAGCTGTTAGCAGAGGAAATTCTTTTCTCTTTTTCTCCCCTTTTCTTTTCATCTGCTTCTGTCTCTCTGTTATCTCCCTGTCGCTACCTCTCTCTGATTAATAATGTCTTTGCTCACATGTCTTCTCTGAGCCACAAGAAGCTCTGCCATTAGGATTGTGATTTTTTTAAAAGATATTTTTAGTGATATGTTTCGAAAGCAAAATATATCCATGTCTATGCCAAAATAGCTGCACATAGGTTACATGGATGAAGTAGATGCAGCAGCACATTTACTATAAGTATTCAGTTATCTTACCCCATATCAGCTTTTTAATTATTTGTCTATCTTTAAAAAATAGTACAAGTTAATTTCTGTCCTATTAGAACTATAATATAAGTCAAGTTTAAATATATGGATGGATGATGAACATTAATTATTAGTAAAATTGACATTGAATCTTCAGTTGCCATCCCTAAATGAGCTAAAGATTTTGGTATCTATATGTCTGCATCTGCTTTCTCATAGCTGTGATATTGAAACACAGAACCATTTATACATCAATTTTTAAAAGTAATATTAAATTGTATGGTTTAATTGCTTAAAATTAAAAGACACCATTTAAAATATACAAAGTTTTGGGGTGAGGTAATTATTTTTACTCTCTTTGAATTATGTTAACCAGGCTCAGGTATTTAATGGTAGTTAAGATAAAGTCTGGACAATTACTCAGGTAACCACACAATTATGTTGACTTCTAGAAAAGAGATTTTCCTAGTCTTTATTTTATCATTTCCGATTTCGATAACTGATCCCGAGCACTTATATAACTTCTACAATCAGTCATTATTTTCTTTATGTATCTTGGTGCCAATATAGAATGCAAGTAATAATTAAGTATAATGAGAACACTAGCTGTTTCAGACTCTTATGTCCCAAGACTACAATGCCATAACTTCACATAGGCTTATGTGTTTTAAAAATGAGAACACCTTGACTATTTAAAAATCCAGACCAATCTCTGCTCACATTAAACTTAACTTCTACATGAAACTATGACTAAAAGCGGCCTCCAAATTTTCTAAGATCACTTGCCTTCCTTCTTTTGAGACAATAGTAAGACTCACTCAAGTTGGTGCTCTCCTTTGCTCAAGAAAGTTAGCTTTGCATGATCAATGGATTTCCAAGATTTTCTCCATATGGGGTAAGGGAGGAGCCCACAATAACTATGAGGTCAGATTTATGCAAAATCATTAATTACTGTATGTCAAGCATTTGAAATAAACTTTCAATCAAGGAACTTCAATCCAGACCTCATCAATTTGTTTATTTTTAATTTTCCACCTTTCTCCAATTTTCACTTGCATCTCTATATATGTGAGATCAATTGTCTCTCATTATTAATCATTTTCTAGCCAATACTCCCAACCACATTTTCCTTCTCCTTCTATTACATGTGCTTGAATAGACACATCTACTTGAACTCAGCTGTCCATCTTTGCCCTAACTGAATTACGTAGCCTGTAACTGCTAGAAAAAGTCAGAAAACTAAGCTGACAATTTGCAACTAAAAATCATGTTTAAAAACCTCAACTTCACACACAAAACTGCGTAGAAACTTTTTTACTATTACCCAGTACACTGATTTTTGATTCTACTATTTAAAGACATATATTTTGCCCTAAAATATTCCAGACTTTAATTTCCCCTATCCTCATAGAAGACTTATTTTTTCATTGTGAAAACGGAAGACTTGGACTGGAACTTATCACTCTTACCATAAGATAATCTTCAAAATTACATGTGTATATGTGTGTGTAGTGTGTAATTCAGTCTGTTACTATGTATAAAACATCCCTGCTTTTTATAAAGCCCAGTTTCTCCCTGAGCAAATAATGACAAGTGAAAGAAAAATGCCTAATAAAAGATATTTATTTCTAAAATACTCATTTTAGAATAAGTGTTTTTGGCAAGAAGCTTATGCAACACTCATCATGTGACTCATTTTGAGAGGTAGAATTTCAGTACACTAATTGAAGAAAATAAGCTAAGAGTTTGCTCTTTCTTGAATCTGAACTAATTCTTTCTAAATTTTAGTCAAATCACAACTTATAAAAAGAAAGTAGAAGCTAAAATTTCAGGGCATAACTTTCCATATTTAGGAAAGTACGCCAAGTTAAGTATGCCTCACTGAACGTTAAATTATACAATTAAAAATGTTAATTTTAAAATCTTATCCTAATATTTGTACTACTTAATTAGTAATAATGATGAATGACTGAACTTTGTTCCTTTACCACAACATATCTTTTTTTAGTTGAGATTTAGTTCATGCCTGAAAGTAGACGTTCTTAAACTCTGTGTGTATGTTCTTTTGTTATATAAACCAAAGGCTTTTCCTTTAAGTTATGCTCCCTTGGCCATATTTCCTCATTAAAATACATTTATTTAACACATTGCATGTTGTGTGTATGTATTTACATATTGAAACATATATACACATGCATGATTCACTTAGATTTCTACAAAATTAGCTAAAAAATTAACATCTGTATTTGCTAAAAGACTTGGAACTTAAAACAAGGTAAGCCAGATGGAGGACCAAAATAAATATCATCAACTCTAGTCAAGAGTTTTATCTGTTATCATACAACATATTTAGGGAAATATGTGATTGTGATAAGCCACTTATGATGAAAATGTGTTCCATCCCAATTGTTAAAATTTTCATCTCTGAAATTTGAGTTTCTAATAGACAAATGTCTTGGACCCTTAAACTATTAAATCAGTTTTTAACAACAACAACAAAATAGGTAGTGAACACTGGAAGATACAAAATTTGATGAACTGTTAGTGTTTCACAAGACCAATATTCTACTTATGTGCATTATGGTAAATGCTTTTGATGCCTTAATATAATCACATAATGGACAGAAAGAAAAGATATAACTATAAAAAATGTTAAGAGATATTAGATTTGTTTTTGTCTAGTTATAAGATTGAACAGTATAGGGTCAGGAGCTTCATAGTTAGAATTACATAAAAAATGTAGAATTACTTCAAAATCAAAATGCAGCAAAATTTATAAATGCAAATAACTGAGGTATGCTGCATTTGTTTTTAAATAGCCACTTTAATACCAAACAGATAAATTTTTTTTTGATATAACATGTGTTCCTTTGTAGAATGTGTTAAGGAAACTACATTTGACATTGTTTATCTCAGTGAGAAAACAGACTGTTTTTACAATGAATTTGATCCAAAAACCTAGACTGGGAATTAGAAGTAAAGTAAGCAGGGTTATCAACTAATATATGACCTTCCTCACTTCAATTAAAGTTCCTAGACTACTGTTTTGATGTTACCTTATTAGTTATGTCGAATCAGTTAAAGTAATATCTGTAGTAGTTAAAGTAATATCAGTTAAAGTAATGCCTGTAGTAGGTAATTTTAAAGTAATATCTGTAATAGTTAACCTCTCCCATGTGTTATTATCATAATGCAACAGGAGATAGTTCCGACTGCTGCCTCCTCATCCAATCAGGACTTTAGTGAAGTCCACACAGAGTACAGTAAAAAGAGACTGCCTGCCTTATAGACTGCTGTCTGTCTGATACTTTTGTTGTAAGATTAATGTGTTAGGTAATCTTTTCTGGTGGAAAAACAAGAGTAGATATCAGAGTAACCATCCTAATGACTCAAGGATCCTCTTAGAGATAACAACCTGAAAGCTCTGGCAGATCTTGCTTTTGTTTAAGACAATGTAAATATCTTTTTTTTTTAAAGAAATATATATGTAAACATGGCAACATCTAGATCTATTGTATAATTTTGAAATAGGTCTAAGAAGCAAATCTTGGATTCTATTTCTTTTTAAACAATTTCACCAAAAGACATTTAACTGGATGAAAGAAATTTATCATATATTGTTGCATAGATATATTTTAATCTCTTTCTTAGGAAGTGCTTACCTGATTTGAGATAATTTTTCTCATAGCATACAATACCAAAGCACACTAATTTTAAAGATTTATACATTTTCTTTGAAGATACTCAAATCTAGGCTGTCCTCTGTAAACTTGTTTGTTTTTAAAGTTTTTCTTTGTTTTGCTTGTCTTGTTTTCATCGTACAACATGGAGTAAGATAAGAAGACATGAATGCAACAGGAAAACATATGTATGAATTAGTGATACAAATATTTTTAATTTAAATTCATGTAATTTCACAAAAATATATGTGATGATAGACTCCCTTAGTTTACTGAGATACAAGGTTTTTTTTTAAATAATATAATATCTAGGTTATATAGATCAGACTAGATTGGCACTAAATGGAGATACCAAATTGTGAAAACACTAACACTGTGACAATTTCTAATCTACAGTAACATATAAGCAAATCTGGAAGGAAAACTCATGTCTGAAATATATTCCCATTTTAAATTTCATATCAAACAATCAATGATTTTCAGGTCTGAAAATTTCAAATCTTAACTTACACAGAATTATGAACCATAATTTAAAGATTTTAGTTATTAAGAAGCAGATTATACCAAGGTAAAACTCATTAATCATTTGTGTTCAGGTAATTTATTTTACTACTTGTTTCTGTGCCAGTTAACAATATAAATATTGGTCTAAAACATAAAAATAATAATAGTATGGGAATAACAACTCTATTTTCTTAAATAAAGAAATTGTAGTTATATGACTACTACATTGTATTTTGAGAGTAAAAAGAGATACCTCAGAGCTGTTAAATATGCTACATGAGATAGCAATGATTCTATCACAAACAATGATTATTGTTATTATTCTTCACATGGGATTCTGAGGCCAAATGTCTCAAGGGATGAGACCTATCAATCACAACTGATTTAACAAGGACACTACCAATAAAAGATTTACATTCATGCTATCCCCTCCAATGCAAGTCTCTAGAGGAATACACAGAGAAAACTGGCTTGATAAATATTTCAAATAGCTTTTTTACTAGTTCTGAGAGCTTCCTATTGACAATATCAAGGGCTTTAAGGAGATGTTCTGCATAGTAAATGCACAAAGACAGCTATAGAAAGGTCTTTGAAGGATAATGCTTTTTAATTTAATAGATGGGTTATAGGAAAGGTAGTGAGCAGTTTGCCAGGGGTTCCAACTCTAGCTAAGGAAACAGTGCCAAGTCTGTGAATCACAATATTGGATTGTAAGTTATTCAGAATGTTCTGAGAAGCGATCCAAACATAGAAACACCTGAAACTTCAATATTGAATCCATTTACATTAATAACATTCAAGGAGTCTTCTAATCTTAACACATACACCCAGTAATACTCCTACTGAAGCCTTGTAGATAAGATAGATCACCAGTATTTAATTAAAGGAATATAATTTTATATAGTTAGATGATTATCTTAACAGAACCTGGTATATTGACCCTGAAAAATGTTAGGCAAGCAGGAAGAAGCATAATACAAGTAAATAAGCTTAAACCTATATTAGCTACATATTGCACAGACCTAATAGATAAAGTATCTCATCTTTTGAAATTTTATTTCCTCTAATTACTTAACCAGCCAACTGAATTTAATCATCCAACTGTCAATTCAGACAAGTTTGTAGAACTCTCTTTGAAAAGGTTCAGTCTGGAAATTAATGAAGACCACAGTGATAGCCATCCATTGAAGATGAATGGGAAGATTCCTGGATGACAACTAAGCTTTGCAAACAGCAATGCTGTCTTATCATTAAAGTTGCACACTGTACTTTACTCTGAGGTGATTTACCAGAATATGTGCTTTAATGTGTGTTTAAAATCTATTATCAGTTGTTTTAAAAGGAAAAGTTGTCTAAGAGATAAGTATTTTAAGGCAACAACATGGCTAATAGAAACCATTTAAATAGGCTTAGTTTTAGTTGACTTTTTTATTATGTGTGTATATATACACACACACACACACACACACATATATATATACACACAACATTAAGCATTAGGAATTACTCTTTGTATCTAGGATAAATCAAGTACCTTTTAGACCACAGTGGAATAAAACTGGAAAGTAACTCATAAGGAAACTTCAGAACTATATAAATTCATAGATGTTAATCCACTCTTGAATTATTTTTCGGTTAACAATAAAATCAAGATGGGAATTTAAGAATTCTTTGAACCGAATGATAACGGTGACACAACTTATCAAAACTTTTGGGATAGAGCAAAGTGGTGCTAAAATGAAAGTTTATAGCATTAAACACCTACATCAAAAAGTCTGAAAGAGACAACCTAATGCCACATCTCAAAGAAATTGAGAAACAAAACAAACCAAACCCCAACCATGCAGAAGAAAAGATCAGAGAAGAGTGAAATGAAATTGAAACAGAAAAATGAAACAAAAAGCTGGTTCTTTGAAAAAATGAACAAAATTGATAGACCGTTAGCAAGATTAACTAGGAGCTGATAATTTTGTGCCTAGTGACCCAGATATCTTTCTACCAGGGTTTCCTTTTGTGCAAGAGATTAGTAATAATGTGAGAAAAGCATCTGGCCTATGATAACAATAATCCAATAACAATAGTAGTAATAATAATTTGTTGAGCACTTTTCTGAAGACACCATGGAATACTTACTTCTTAAATGGGCAGCAGGAGCCTGACTGCCCAAGTGAGTATCCGGGTTCTTTCATGAACACCTAGGAAACTTTAAGAAAATTGCTTCACTTCTATGTGCTTTAGGTTCTCTTCTTTATGAAATGTAGCTAATCACCTACAACAGTATCTGGACCACAGGTAAGTGCTTTATAAAATCTGCTGTTATCATTTTTACTGCTTTAGGTATAATTATTAATGATATTTTATAGACTCTTAATGAGAAAAAATAAATTTATATATAAAGTACTTAAAACAGTGTCTTGCATGTTTTAAGGACTTCACAAATGTTAGTACAATTTACCTGTATTCTTTAATTCCCTCAACAGCTGAATTAGGTGGGAACTATTATCAGGTGTAATTTCTATTAGGTATAAGACAGGTGGTAGCTATTAATATAATATCAAAATCAGTTTTAACTTGCACCATTTTGTCCATAGGAGCTTTTATTAGTCTCATAAGTCACTATTTACCTGAGGATTGGCACATATGTATTTTAGTGCAATATCATACATTTAATCATTGAGGCAGGGTTGGAAACTTACTATCCTGGCTTAAAATAGGTCAAATTATGTCTGCAATCAAGCAAGACATTTTTACTGAGAAAAAGTTGGCTGAGATTTTGAAAAACAGTATAATTCCTGTGTGACATATTCCTTCCATCAAAAATCATCTACATTAATGGTTGTCTAGAGATACTGCCAACTATTCCAATGTATCTCAGGTCTTGCAAATTCATATTTGTGAATATTTTGAAGTTGATTTATGTTGATATTAATCCCCCATGTTTTGCTGACCAACTCAGGTCCTTTGACTCTTGTGATATTCTCCTCTCAACCATTTTCTGAATTCCTTGGGACCCAGGACACAGATTTTGAGCATCATTCTTCTACTAATGAGCTGTATCATTAAATGGTTATTCCTCTTCAATCACCAACACTTTCAGGACTCAGGTGTCATTAGCAACTGGTTGAAGACCTTGATTAACAAAACTCTTTTGTAGTTTTGAGGTCTATAATGAGAGATATTCATATCTGGTTAACAAATAGCTGTTTAACAGACCTCTGTGGCCCCATTTGGGTTACTTTTCTTGCTTCAGCTTCAATGCATTGCTGTTCTTACCCCCAAAGATACAATACTTTTGTGCAAACAGAGTGTTCTGTTCATCTTTATAGCCATTTCCCTAAGGCTCACGCACAAGCACTTGGAGGTGGGTTAGGGAAGCCAACTTACAAATAAACCCTATGCTCTCAGTTCAACACTCTTCAGATGATGTAGCCATTTAACTGTCCTACACAAAATGCTTGTAAAAATCTACTAGATTCAAAAACATTTCACTGGACACCAAATAGTGATAGCCATGTTTGAATCTCAGCCTTGGCCAAGGCTTTGTCTAAAGCTGAGCATTATTTCAATGAATAAGATGTTATTTGGGGGATAAAAATATATCAGTTTTTATATTTAAAAATTATGTTGCCATTATGTATGAGGCTCAATGGAATCATAAACAATGTACACATCACCCAAACACGTTGCAATAATGCAGTATTTCTATAGTTCCAAGTTTCTGGTATTAGTCTGTGCATTTAAATCCTAGCTGGGTAACCATGGGAAAGATACTTTCTGCATCTCAATTCCTTCATCTTTAAAATGGGATTAATAATACAAATATATCTTATAGAAGGTTTTATAGAAAGAAACTTAGCATATGGTAAGTACTCAATAAATAATAGTTATTATGATCACTATATTATTAACATATTTATTTCCTCCAAAGCCTTGCATATACTGTAAAAGTTGTTTGTAATTTTCGCTTGCTCTTGTCTGAATGAAATATAGTGAATGATAAAATATGTTAATATAAACACTAACAAATTTTGTCACATAATTTATAAGTAAATTACTTGTGACAAGCCAAAACAATGATGTGGCCATGTGTTAACCCATGATGGTATCCATATTAATACTTGGTAAACAATATGTTACCAAAGAGCAAATATTTAATGATTTGATATTATAGTAACAAGAAACATCTATATATGCATACAAAGTCTGAATATATATGATTTTATAGCAGTGTTATATATAGGAAAGGAGTGTCTTGATTATTTTTAATCTTTACCTTTTATATATTAACACAATTTTTCTGTCTGTATTATAAGTAATCAGAAAAAAACCTATTTTAAGTTAAAAAGAGAGATATATGAGTATATTTGAGCTAAAATGTTCTATTAGCTTATTTATTCTAATTTTTCCAAATGCATGTGAAGAAAGAAATAATCTTGTCATAATTAAAATTTCAGTGAAATAGGAATAAAGTTATTTTAGTAGTAAATTTGCATTTTACATCAAATATGGTAATGTAACATGGCTGTACCTGTATGTTTAAGACACCTTTAAAGATGAGCTATTGAGTTTGACTTAAAAAGAATAAAGTGGAAATACATGAGCTTATGAATTTATTGGAAACTTGATAATGTAATCCACATTTGCAGGAACCTATTTTTCTTTTAATCAGTATGTTATTTATTTTCTGTTTTATATACTGTAAACTGATTTATGCCTTTTTTAAGTATATTCAAGTGGTGGTGATTTTCAATCGGCCCCTAAGTTTTCTTCGTTACCAAATACCTTTTTCAAATAAAAAAAAAATGACAATGATTTTCCCCTTAGGACTTCGAGAAACTCTCACAAATACAAACTTAGATTGTGCTCGACAATCTAGGGCGATATTTTTAATCTTGAGGGAAAAAAAGATACTCTGTTGATATTTTCTGGATCATAAAATAAAAAGAGTATGACTTTTATGCTGAAGTGTTTGGCAATCTTCATAGTCATCTTCTAAGAGACATTTAAACACATATAAAAGGGATGCAAGATCATAAAAATACAATAATCACTACATTGTATTCTTAGCTGAAATGAGTGTAATAACACAGCATGGCTACAGAATTGCTTTGAAATATTCTCCTCTGAATAGATTTTACAAGAATTACCAAAAGAAATAACTTGCATCTCAGTATAATACTGTCTATGGGGAACATTTTCTAAGACTGTTTTATGCGCGACTCAGTTCCGGACACAGGTCTTTGTAATACTTTCAATAGCTATCTTCTACAGATAGGGAAAGAGACTCTTGACAAGAAATTTAGCCAAATTTTATTTTAATAAGATTTGAAAAATTTAATTTAATGAAAAATATAACTATATAAAATAGATTATATTTTTTATTATTTAAAACAATTGAAAAATAAGTAAATAAATAAAATAAAAAATTAGAAAGTGATGCATATTTGATTTGATGATTTGGGTTAATATAATGAGGATTTGCATATTAGGCTAGCATTCCTATTTTAATTTAAGTGAAAGTCTTCATTATTTCCCCAGACACCAACTCAGTACAACCAACCAAGGTGCTCAAGCCAAACACTTAGGCATCATTGCTGGTAACATCTTTCTCCATCCCCCAAATAGTTAAGCCATCAGCAAATTCCATTAATTTTACCACAAAAATATATCCTGACTGTTTGCTTTCATAGCTAACATCACCTCCCTGATCCAAGCTTTTGTCATCCTCTGTCATCACACACCATCTGAAATAGTCCTCTGCCGGCTTTCTCTGCTTCTATTTTTCCTTCTTTATAATTTATTCCCAGGATGTTATTTTAAAATTTACATGAGATGATAAAATTTAGCCCTCTCTAAGCAATCACATTTAGAATGAAATCTGTATTTTCTGTTTGGTAAATTAGACCAATTTGAACTAAATCATGCCTACATCTCTAGCTTTGTTTTCCAATTCTCTGTCTCTTTCTGTTTCTCTCTGCTTCTTTCTGTTTCTCTCCTGTTCACCCTCTCCTCCAGTCTTATACTCAAGTTGCAGTATTATTGTTTTATGTTCTTCTAACTAGCAACATTTGTTTCTTCCTCTGAAACCTTGGATTTGGTTGTTGCTATTGCTTGCAACATTCTTTCACTAAATATTCCTATCCTGTCACCTAAAGTGTTACCTTCTCAGAGAGGTCTGTCTCACTACCACCTGTTAACTAGGAAATCTCCCATCTAGTCCCACTTTATTTCCAACTGGATATTTGTCAGCACTAGATTTGGGGGCATATTTTTGTTACCTTCAAACAGACGTGTAAAATTTGAGGACTAGAGACTCTTTTTTATTTTTCTTCTTTTTCTTTTTCACCATTGTGTATGCTAAGGACTTAAGGAAGTGACTAACATAAAGCATATGATGTGCTAAGTGACTGTATGGAGTATGAGCACAAAGTTTAGAGCTGGTAGATAGAAAACATCCAGAGGTAGTTCACAAGATTTCAAAGTAAGTGATCTTTAGTTTTACTAAAAAATTAAAACTGGATTTAAAATTGAAGATGTCCCATCTTTTATAACATGTTACAAATAAGTTTTTTTTAATCTTACTATAGCAAGATGAGTAAAAGCTTACTAATTAAGGAAAGCAAAATTCTCACTGCCAAGGGCAGGCTACTCCATTTTTCTTTGGATTGACTATTCTTAGAGCAAAAAGTATTAAAAAGAAAGTGCTATTAAACTTTATTATGTACATGTCCTGCTGAAACACTAAAATAACACCCCTAAAAACACCACCAATCATTTCTGCCATCCTATTTCAATTTTTATCTTCATTTATTTCTACTTTAGATAATAATTACTCTTAGATTTGTTAAATATTTTATTTCACTACTACATTTTTGTTTTGTTACACATTTCTATTTTCCAGAGCTAAAATATTTAATTATTTATTTAAAAATTTCCTCTTATATTTCTATTTACATACATATTAAAAAATATGTAGAGAATATATATAGAAGAAATAAAAATACATATAAGATATAAAAGATATGATATATAAAGAAGACATAAAATATATATATCCTTATATATACGCCCTACTATAGATACAGATATACATATATAGAAGATATATTATGTATCTTCTTACATATGTGCCCTATTATAGATCTATATAGAAGATGTATATCGCACAGTATATACATGTATAACAGAGCGGGCTTGGTACTGCTTCAGTACTTTGGATTGGCTCCTCTCTCTGTCTGGAATGCTGTTTCTCTAAATATATGCATGGTTTATCTCATCTTCTTTATTCTTGACTCAAATGTCACTTTTTTAGTTTCTTAGTAAGGTAAAACCAGAACACACCAATTTATTATTAGTATTATTTTTTGAGATGGAGTCTTGCTCTGCCACCCAGGCTGGAGTACAATGGCGCGATCTTGGCTCACTGCAAACTCTGCCTCCCAGGCTCAGGTGATTCTCCTGCCTCAGCCTCCCAAGTAGCTGGGACTACAGACGCGGGCCACCAAGCCCAGCTAATTTTTGTATTTTTAGAGGTAGGATTTCACCATGGTGGTCAGGCTGGTCTCGAACTCCTGACCTCAGGTGATCCACCCAATCTCTCTCCACCAACAGGCTGGTTCTACCTTTTTTTTCTTGCACTTATCAATTTCTACTGCACTATGTAAACTACAGTGTTTATTCTTTATTTGTTGCAAATCTATCTCCTCTCACAAAAAATATAAGCTTCACTGGCGGCAGAGATTTGTATCTACATGTGGTATATTCCAGCACCTAAAAATGTTCAATAAGTAAATGAGTCTCCTTGGAACTATAATTGCTAATTCTTTGACCTTGTTCTTTATTTGCTATGCACAGCAGAGCACACTGGGTATATTTCATATTGGGAAGAGTGAGGGTCCAATTATCACAGGCCAGGGCAAGAACAACTCTTTCCCGAATCACTTATGCTCTATATGCAACTCAAATGCCAGAACTTTAAAGGAGTAAGCCAAGCCAGGATGAATTTCTAGAGATAGGCATTAGTAAGCTAAATAATGGATGAATATAATGTAGTTTTAATGAAACCTGTTAAAGTTTCTAAAATCATTAGCAAAATAATTGCTCAAGTTAGTCCATAAATAAAAGAATAATGATTTTCTTCCTTTGGTAATATCAGGAAAAGAAGAAAAATGTGACTTACAAAACACATACACCACATGCATGAGCACATTTAAATGGTAAGAGCAGGATGCATCATTTGTGTGGTGAGAGCAGGATTTATACATAGATAGGATCTATCATATTTACACATTAAAGAATAAATGCAAGATTGCATTACACGTGGAGGCTTCCTCATTTTTAACTTTTTAAATAGAGCATATTAATTTACATCATTTCAGACGAAGTATCACCAGTTACAAAATAAACAAACTTCAGGGAAAACACATGAACACATATATATTAAAACCTAGTTTTTAAACAATAACATGACTATATTTTATATTCTAAATGCTTCCAACTTCTTTTTCATGAGATGCCATTTTATTTGACAAAAGGTGCAGATAAAAGATCTCATCAGATTTCTAGACTGGCTAGGAGACTTACTACTGTGAAAAGCTATAAACTCTGTATTGCATGTTAGCAGTTCAAGTATTACTTTGAATTACAACATTTTCAAAAGTGGACAAAAATCTAATGCAGTCTTTTTGTACTAGAGTCACTCTAGTAATTCTCAGAAATATTTTCTGGAGGGCAGATAATGTAGTGTGGTTAAAAATTTTGGACCAAGGACATAATGATTCCTCCCTGGCATTCAGGTATTAAACATGAATTATAGAAAGTGATTATCCCTGTCACCTTGCCTGAAGTAATGATGTTCTGGTTTTTACAGGGCTATTAAAAACCTGCTGTGTCAGAAATGAGTATGATTTCAGACTATTACCAAGCACACAGATGTAAGGTCTTGATTCAAATCATACTATGAATATCACTGAAAACATGTAAAGCTAATTTAGACTTTTATACCAAATGTTTACATTTGAAATTAAAAATAGTGTTTACACTTTTTTGATATTTTTTATTGTCTGGGTCACTTTGGACAAATTCTAAGCAAATGAAATAAATGGTATGAGGTTAGGGGAAAAAAGCGCTTATTAACTAAGTTGCTTAAATCACTCAGACAATAGAAGGTAAAAATCCCTTAAATTACCCCAGAAATGGAGGTAAGGAACATAACAAAAATAATGTATCCTTGGTTGTATAACAATTATTTCCCTGATATATTAGTCATTCCACAAAAAATAATGATTGTATATACTAGAAGTTAATAATTTCAAAGCAAGATTTGTAAATATTTGTGACTTACAAATAAATCCTTTAGAATTATTTTTGGACACATAATTGTTATGGGTTTTCAATTGTTGTCTCACCTTATTTTCAGCATTACCTTTTTTTTAATTTAATGAAGATGCTATTGGGTTATTCGGTTTAAAAATTACTGTGATATTCAAATGTGTTTCACCATATTCCCAGCAAGAATAAAGGCATATATCCTTTCAATAAAAATAATAAATGTATGCTTATTCCTTGTTGTGAGGAAGCAGTTTTGCCTCACCTCCACAAAAACATGCTTATAAAATGTCACAGCTTAGACTGCACATACCTGGTTAAACAAGAATTATGTGACCTAGAATCTGTCCATGAATGAGTTATGGGATGATAAGGGCCAATCCTGGGAAAAGAGAATTAAACTATAATGCCTTCAAAATCCTTCTTTATTTTTCTTTCCTTTCCAAATGGAAATAGGATTTGAGACTTGAATGTTTAGAAAGACATTGCCAAGTTTTTTTTTTCCTTTCTTCCTTGTGAAAAACTACTTGTTTCCATGGTTGAGAGGATAGCTCAAGAGAATCCGTAAGAATAAGAACTATTCCTTTGAAACAGGACAATTAATCAGGAAAATGTGTCATTCTTATAAATTAGTCCATTCAGTTGAAAACCCATTTAAATAGTCCAGAGTTAAACAACCTGGTATTAGGCCAAATAATGGCCCCAAAAAATACATGTCCACATTCTAATCTCCAGAAATTTTGACTATTACCCTATATGCACAAAAGATGTGATTAAGTTAAGGATATTTCCAGGATAATATTTTCCTCCCCACAATGAACCCCCGTTTTGAAAGCCCTCAGCTCAACAGGAGTTCTAGTACCAGAGCAGCTGGCAATCCTACCCTACTGGGAAATGCGAGGGACCTAGACATGGGTGTTCACATGTACCTATCACAGGAAAGTTCCCTTACCTGGCACACAGCTTAATGTGTAGTTGTCCAAACCAAGAACAGGGGGTCTGTCAAGTGACACACTTGCTTATACTGGCAGACACTCCTGTGATATATGTCTGACCTGTGTTCTGTTTATCCTGTCTGACCATTGCTCTGACACTTGGATCCTGACTTCGTGTTCCTCCTGATATCCTGGGGAAAACCCAGCCTGGGGTAGCCCCTAGTTCTTCAAATGAAAGCCACAAATTCAATGCACCACAACAGGAAAGAAGTTCAAATATTTTACTTTCAGATTCTGGGTAAGGAGGACATAATGTGTCTGTAGAGAAGTCATTGGTCCCTGGGTCACATGAGGCAGGAATGGAGTCAGGCAAGGAGAGAGAAGTTTTTGGCAGGCAACTTGTGGTATGTATAATAGAATGAGGTATTCACTTTAAGTTTGTGGACAAATGCCTGAATGGTAAACTTAAAGGAATCAACAGGAAAGCAAGGAGCCCAGGCTGCTGGGCTGGAGAGATGCCTCTAAGATCTTATCTCTGGCCACTGGCTTGAGCCATTTGAGTGTGGTGTAGAACTGGAAACCTGTGTCAAGGATGACCAAGTCCTGCTTCCAATATGAGTTAAACTTGCATTCAAAAAGGATGCAGAGACAACATAGAATTATGAGTTAACTGCAGCCCTCAATCCAATTGCATGTCTTTTTATAAGAAACAGGAATGCAAAGTTTTTAGATAAACATACAGAGAAGACACATACAGAGAAGAGGCAGCTATGTGAACATAAAAAAAGAAATTGAAATGATGGGCCACAAGCCAGGGAACATCTGCAATCACCAGAATCTGGAAGAGGCAAGAAACAGATTATCTCCTAGAGCCTCTGGAGAGAGTATAGCCTTGCTAACATCCTGGTTTTATATTGCTGGCCTTCAGAACTACAAGAGATTAAATTCTGTCATGTTAAGCTACCCAATTGTGGTAATTTTTATGGCATCCCTGGGAAAGTAATAGAGTTTGTTACCAGAGGTGGGTTGCTTCTGTATAACAAATCCTAAAAACGTAGAAGTGGCTTTAGAAATGGATAATAAATTAGGGCTCACAAGGAGTGAGAAGTATGGTAGACTAAGCTGCTATCTTCTAAGAGAATACATAAATAGTCCTGAATAGAACCTTGGTAAAAAATAAACACAAAGGATCTTTTGGTGACAGTTGAGAGGAAAATGAGGAATGTGTTATTGGAAAATGCAGGAAAGTGATTGTTGACATATAGTGGCAAAAACTTGGCTTAATTTTGTCCTATATTTGGGTGGAAAGTAGAACTTGTAAGAGATGAACTCGGTTATTTAACGGAGGAGATTTTCAGGCAAAGTATTTAAGGTGTAGCCATGTTTACTCTTGCTGCTTACAGTAAAATGCAAGAAAAAAGAGATAAATTGAGGAAGGAACTATTAAGGAAAAATTTGTTGGACTCAAATTATTCAGGCAGGAAACAGGCTGATTAAACTACTTGGGTTCAAATAGCTGCTTCTGCTCAAAAAGCAGTAAAAATAACTCTGAAGGCAAAGAATTGGGCCTAGAAGTATGAGCTATAGGCCCAGAGGGCAGATCCTAAAGTCATAGGAAATTTTATATATATATATATATATATATATACACACACACACGTATATATACGTATATATGTGTATATATACGTATATATACACACACACACACACACACACCCCACACACACACACGCCCCTAAACGTATATATGCGTATGAAATGAAAATATATAAAATAGAACCTTATTTGGTAGAAAATCATTATTAAATTTAACATAAAATTCATTTTTGTGAGGTTATTTTAAGGTCACCATAATATTCAGATATCCTGATCCCCTTAAAGTAATGGCATACAGGCCAGGCGCGGTGGCTCACGCCTGTAATCCCAGCACTTTGGGAGGCTGAGGCGGGTGGATCACGAGGTCAAGAGATCAAGACCATCCTGGCCAACACGGTGAAACCCCGTCTCTACTAAACACACACACAAAAATTAGCAGGCGTGGTAGCGGGCGCCTGTAGTCCCAGCTACTCGGGAGGCTGAGGCAGGAGAATGGCGTGAACCCGGGAGGCGGAGTTTGCAGTGAGCCGAGATCGCGCCACTGCACTCCAGCCTGGGCAACAGAGCAAGACTCCGTCTCAAAAAAAAAAAAAAAAAAAGTAATTAAGTAATGGCGCACACAACACAGCCCAAACATGGGGGACAATCATGTTATAAAAAGGAGCTAAGTTGTGCAGAAGTATCATGTTTGACAAAGCTGTTTTCTTTGGTTACAATTTGTCCACTTCAATGACTTATCACAAGCGATGCATTTTTATACCATTATGGAAATAAAGTATCAGTCTATGAAAATAGCCAATAGAAAAGCAGTTTTACATAAAAGTAGTTAAGCATGATCCCTTTGAAATTTTAAATACATTCTTAAATTTTCCAATAATATCTATAGAATTAGTTAATTATATTACTCATTTAAGGGCAATAATATTTTATTATCTATATTCATACTTTCTTCCTATGTATGGGGTATATGAAGTGCAAATTTCTAGAAGCACATTGAAAATAAATATATAAAATGAATGCCCAGAGGCAACTGTAGATACAGTGTGAAGTACAGAAAGTTTTTCCTTTACAACTTCTCACCAAGAGATGTTTTGTGCCTGTACCTATGATTGGGTACCAATAGACAGATAATCTATGAATATCATTTTGGCCTTCTTGTCAAAACATCTATCATATTCCTTCCTTTTTAAATGTGTCTATCTTATTTCTTCTCGTTCTAGTCCAGTCTTCACTAAGGTGTAAATCAAAATGTCTCTTTCATGGGGTATTTTAAATTTTACTTCAGTCGTTCCAAAAATTGAAGAACCATTCAATATTTGTATTCTCTCCACAAGCCCCAGGTTGATAGCATGAAATAAAAGCAATTGTCAAGGGAAAATAAAGAGAATGACAAGAATGTCTCTTCTTAGTGCTCACTGGACAGGGGCAGAGCCAAAATCAGAACCACTTCTTGGAGAGAATGGTCCAGTTATGTCAAAGTGGGTTATTTATATTTGTTCATAAAAACTATTACAACTCAAAATAAATTCAATTTAAGACTAGAAGATGAACAAAGAAAAGTTTCATTGAACAGGAGCCAAATGCTCAGGTAAAACAAGATTGTGAAAATACAGCATCTGATAATCTTTTGATAAGGTTTTATGGAAATATCTCTGCTAGTCATCTAAATAAGCTTTCAAGAAAATAAAAATGTTTCTTATTATTGATGTATATGAAAAGTCTTCTATTTCCATATTTACCTATATAAAGTTCAATTTCTGTTTAAAATTATAGTGTTGGTTTACTGAAATTATATACAAAAATTTTCACTTCCTTCACCTTGAAATAAAAAAATATGCAAATTAGACATAGATGAAGACATGGGCAAATAAAAGCCTGCAGTCAGTTTTTACTATTTAGAATTGTAAAAATGAAAAGAGTGGAATTATTATTAGGGAGGTGTTATTTTTCAAGTTTTTCTAACAAAATCACAAAAACTCCTATTCTAACATAGATAAGACACAGGAACTTCCTCCCTCTGCACAGGAACTGCCTTCCTGACTATTCACAGTGTTGTATGCAGTGCTATCATGGGACTCTCTCTTACAAGTGTTACATTCTTTAATAATAGTTGATGGGTAAAAGAAGAGCTTGTCTTCACTCCTGTTGCCCCACTTTAAAATGTAAATTGAACTTCTTTGGCAATCTAAATTACAAAATTCCAAAATAATTTAAAATAGCCAGTTTCCAAAGTCTTAGTTTGCTCTTTACACAAAAATATATAATGCAGAGAATGAGAAGAATCCCTAAACAAATATAGATGCCTTGATTTTTGACAGCTCACCAATTGAATATTTTCATTTTGAATTTCACTGTTGTTTGGCACCCTGAGGTTTGATTAACATTCCAGAGCCATGTACTATAGTAATATTTAGGACGAATGAAAGGTACATTTTCCTTTTTTTTTTTTTTGAGACTGAGTCTTGCTCTGTCTCCCAGGCTGGAGTGCAGTGGCGGGATCTCGGCTCACTGCAAGCTCCGTCCCCCGGGTTCACGCCATTCTCCTGCCTCAGCCTCCCGAGTAGCTGGGATTACAGGCGCCCGCCACCACACCCGGCTAATTTTTTGTACTTTTTTAGTAGAGACGGCGTTTCACCATGTTAGCCAGGATGGTCTCGATCTTCTGACCTTGTGATCCGCCCGCCTCAGCCTCCCAAAGTGCTGGGATTACAGGCGTGAGCCACCGCGCGTGGCCCATTTTCTTTATTAGAGGAGTATGAGATGGGTGATTGTGAAAGAGAATGGGGAAAAACATGCATGATGATTTGACAACAGAATTGTAATGCAATTCAAGTTCAGGAGTGACTAGAAATGAAAGTTAAGAATCTAAAAATTTATTTTCTTAAAACTACTCTTGCCAATATGTCTCTTGAAAGTTCTTTCTTTACCCAAAGATACATGTACAACTCAATCAGGCTTCTACTCATACAGGGGCAACAGACAGAAAAATCCAGGCAAATGAAAACGAGAAGGAGCTAATCAAATAGACTATATAGACGGTTCTGTATTCTCGGAGTATCTCTGTCCAAGAGAGAAAGAAAATGTATTGATAAATAAGTTAAAAGTTAGCATTTGAGGACCTGATCTTTCTCATTCATTACCATACCTTATCCATTCCAACCCTCAATAACAATTAACTAATAAAAATAAAGTTGCTTATAATTCTTACTGATATGAAATTCACCTTCATGTATTTTCTTTAATATTCGAGTTAATATTTTATAACCTGAAGTACTAAACTTTAATCATTTAATCTATTTTAGTACAGTTTCTATTATATTAATCGAAAGTTTTACTAAAAGGCAAAATATAAGGAATCATCGTTAGGTTTTTAACAAAGTTATATTTAAGTATCCTCTATTAGCCAAAATATTGTATTAGAAATTTAGTCCAAATATTTTATTAGTAATTGAATAATTAAAGATTTAAAGCATGTATTGGTTTTACAATAAACACTTGATATATCATAGGCAATATTCAACTTAGACAAATTTATTATTTTGGAACTGTTATTGTAGATCATAATAAATTAGAATTATCTAAAAAAATAAAGAGAAATTTAGCATGGAATTATTTCTTTGTTTCAAACACTAGAGATAAATGCTATAGGTGGTTTGACATACATAGCTGAGGTTGAATATGGATTTTTTATTAATAATTAACTGAGAAAATATTGGTGGCATGGAGAAATAAATTATTATTCAAGAAAAATATCTATTAAAATAACATGGGGTATAGGAAAAGAAAAAGTTGAAATTATATAATATTGTTCCCTTCCAAAGTTTGGTAAAACTATACATAAAAACCATTATGTAAAATTATGAATGTATTTCAAAAGAGTTGGAGATTTTCTATGAAATTCTATGTGGATGCTTCCTTTTGTGCAGATAAAACCTTTGAGAGAAGATTTATCCAAGTAGCTGTTTACTCTTTTAAATAGGGAAAACACATTCCAAATATTTTATCATTGCCAAATGCTTGAAGAGTCTGAATATATTAAGAAATATTGTACGTAACATCTTTGGGTCCTCTCTGCTTGTTAGACCATATCCAATCTTGTTGGCCAAGTGTTTTTTAGAGATTTGTATTGCTCCCTAACTCAGCATAAAAATTACTTCGACCATATGCCTTTGAGAACCTATAGATTTTTTCTCTAGAGAACTGAAAACCTAATTATTTTCTCAGCACAACTCAATGAGTTAAGAAGAAAATATATGTTTGTTTTTTTATTTAGTCTCTCAAGAGATAGATATTTTGCTTCTTTCACATGTGATGATGCTTAATTCATAATGCTTAATTCATAAACTGCACATTCAAATTGTGGTGAATAGTTAATCAATTACCTTGATAACAGAAACAGTGAGCTTTTTTTCTCAACTTCATGAACCTAAAGTTGAAAGAAAATTTCTATAACATAAATTTCCTAAATTAGAGGCCATATTCTCTAATTAGTTCTGTTAATTATTTACTTGGTATCAATTTATTTAATAACCCCATTATGTTTTTGTTGAGTTTTAATAATACTATTTCAGAAAATGCATTAAAAACTTTAAAACTTCTTGGGAAAGGGAATTGTTTGGTAATAACAGGAAATATTTTGGTGTGTGTGAGTGTGTGTGCATGCATGCATGCATTCAAAATAATAGGGAAGTAGTTTCAAGATACATGTGGGTGACATGACAAAATTAACAGCTGCATAAATATTAATTACTTAGTATTTTCTAATTTATTGTTGCATGTAAATGGTATAAGATTTAAATGGCAATAGATACTGCTATGGACTGAATTTCTTCCCGCAAAATTCATATGTTTAAAAGTACTAGCCCCCAGTACCTCAGAATGTAACTGTATTGGAAGACAGAGTCTTTACAGTGGTAATTAAGTTAAAATGAGGCCATTAGGATGGACCTTAATCCAATACGATTGATGTCCTTGCAGGAAAAAAAAAAAATTAAACATGGACATTTACAGAGGAAAGACCACGTGATGACACAGGGAGAAGATAATCATCTACAATCTAAGAGAGAGGTCTTAGAAGAAAACAACCATGCTGAAACCTTGATATCAGACTTCTCACATCCAGAACTGTGAGAAAATAAGCTTATATGGTTTAACTCATCCAGTGTGGTACTTTGTTATGGCAGCCCTATTAACCTAATATAAATACTGATGGGGAGAATGAAGAAATATTGATATCTATGTGTACATTTTACTGATTTGGCCAAAAATGTATATCTTCTATACTTCATCTATATCCAGGGTGATCTAGTTTATTCTTCAAAAAATGTAGAACAAAGATTAATAGAGGATGTTTACATGGTATTTCCTTAACATCAATCCCATTGAAAATGGTTAAAGTTGGCTGTTGATTTTTTTTGAGTAATGAGAAATAAGTTAAATCTACTATCTTAAATTATAATTTAAAAAATACTGATTATTTTCTTGATTATAACATTCAGTTATCTGTTGCTCGAAGTATATTTCCTTGAATATTAACAATACATGAGGCTAATAAGTCTAGAATCAATATTGTCCATTTCCTTCATTAAGAAAAGTTACTAATTTAGAGAAGAGAGAAAAGGAGAAGAAACAACAAAAACAAAATCTTTTGCTTCACCATGCACAGGCAGTCATAATATTTAAAAAATAATTGTAATTATGTTTCATATTCCTTTTCATCCTGTGTTACTATCATTAAAAGTAAGCAAATGACTAATCTCTAGAAAGGATAATTTACTGAGGTGCTCTGGGCTATTTTTTTTTCTTGTTTTCTCTATGTTTATGCCCATGCGACCTATACAGGGTATGTTATGGTAACATTACAGGCCTGTTAGGTCAATATTAAAATTTCTTTTGATTTTTATAATTAAAAACTATTTTTATTTTCAACTTTTTGTTTGTAAATATTATTGCTCTAAGATGCTTAGCCTGTAATTTTTTCCTACAGTTGACTTTATTTTGTTTACTTTATTTTTTACTCTTGATAACATTTCTTTTCTTAATACTGCGCTTTTCTGACAGGCTTAAAAAATGGCGCACCAGGAGATTGTATCCCGCACCTGGCTCGGAGGGTCCTACGCCCATGGAGTCTCGCTGATTGCTAGCACAGCAGTCTGAGATCAAACTGCAAGGCAGCAGCGAGGCTGGGGGAGAGGCGCCTGCCATTGCCCAGGCCTGCTTAGGTAAACAAAGCAGCCAGGAAGCTCAAACTGGGTGGAGCCCACCACAGCTCAAGGAGTACTGCCTGCCTCTGTAGGCTCCACCTCTGGGGGCAGGGCACAGACAAACAAAAAGACAGCAGTAACCTCTGCAGACTTAAACGTCCCTGTCTGACAGCTTTGAAGACAGCAGTGGTTCTCCCAGCACGCAGCTGGAGATCTGAGAACCAGCAGACTGCCTCCTCAAGTGGGTCTCTGACCCCTGACCCCTGAGCAGCCTAACTGGGAGGCACCCCCAAGTAGGGGCAGACTGACACCTCACACGGCCGGGTACTCCTCTGAGACAAAACTTCCAGAGGAACGATCAGACAGCAGCATTCGCAGTTCACGAAAATCCCCTGTTCTGCAGACACCACTGCTGATACCCAGGGAAACAGGGTCTGGAGTGGACCTCTAGCAAACTCCAACAGACCTGCAGCTGAGGGTCCTGACTGTTAGTAGGAAAACTAACAAACAGAAAGGACATCCACACCAAAAACCCATCTGTACATCACCATCATCAAAGACCAAAAGTAGATAAAACCACAAAGATGGGGGAAACACAGAGCAGAAAAACTGGAAACTATAAAAAGCAGAGTGCCTCTCCTCCTCCAAAGGAACACAGTTCCTCACCAGCAACGGAACAAAGCTGGACGGAGAATGACTTTGACGAGTTGAGAGAACAAGGCTTCAGACAATCAAAATACTCCTTGCTGCAGGAGGAAATTCAAACCAAAGGCAAAGAAGTTAAACACTTTGAAAAAAATTTAGACGAATGTATAACTAGAATAACCAATACAGAGAAGTGCTTAAAGGAGCTGATGGAGCTGAAAGCCAAGGCTCGAGAACTACATGAAGAATGCAGAAGCCTCAGGAGCCGATGCGATCAACTGGAAGAAAGGGTATCAGTGATGGAAGACGAAATGAATGAAATGAAGCGAGAAGGGAAGTTTAGAGAAAAAAGAATAAAAAGAAATGAACAAAGCCTCCAAGAAATATGTGACTATGTGAAAAGACCAAATCTACATCTGATTGGTGTACCTGAAAGTGATGGGGAGAATGGAACCAAGTTGGAAAACACTCTGCAGTATATTATCCAGGAGAACTTCCCCAATCTAGCAAGGCAGGCCAAGATTCAGATTCAGGAAATACAAAGAACACCACAAAGATACTCCTTGAGAAGAGCAACTCCAAGACACATAATTGTCAGATTCACCGAAGTTGAAATGAAGGAAAAAATGTTAAGGGCAGCCAGAGAGAAAGGTCAGGTTACCCACAAAGGGAAGCCCATCAGACTAACAGCGGATCTCTCAGCAGAAACTCTACAAGCCAGAAGAGAGTGGGGACCAATATTCAACATTCTTAAAGAAAAAATTTTCAACCCAGAATTTCATATCCAGCCAAACTAAGCTTCATAAGTGAAAGAGAAATAAAATACTTTACAGACAAGCAAATGCTGAGAGATTTTGTCACCACCAGGCCTGCCCTAAAAGAGCTCCTGAAGGAAGCACTAAATATGGAAAGGAACAACTGGTACCAGCCGCTGCAAAATCATGCCAAAATATAAAGACCATTGAGACTAGGAAGAAACTGCATCAACTAACGAGCAAAATAACCAGCTAACATCATAATGACAGGATCAAATTCACACATAACAATATTAACTTTAAATGTAAATGGACTAAATGCTCCAATTAAAAGACACAGACTGGCAAATTGGATAAAGAGTCAAGACCCATCAGTGTGCTGTATTCAGGAAACCCATCTCACATGCAGAGAGACACATAGGCTCAAAATAAAAGGATGGAGGAAGATCGACCAAGCCAACGGAAAACAAAAAAAGGCAGGGGTTGCAATCCTAGTCTCTGATAAAACAGACTTTAAACCAACAAAGATCAAAAGAGACAAAGAAGGCCATTACATAATGGTAAAGGGATCAATTCAACAAGAAGAGCTAACTATCCTAAATATATAGGCACCCAATACAAGAGCACCCAGATTCATAAAGCAAGTCCTGAGAGACCTACAAAGAGACTTAGACTCCCACAGTGGGAGACTTTAACACCCCACTGTCAACATTAGACAGATCAACGAGACAGAAAGTTAACAAGGATACCCAGGAATTGAACTCAGCTCTGCACCAAACAGACCTAATAGACATCAACAGAACTCTCCACCCCAAATCAACAGAATATACATTTTTTTCAGCACCACACCACACCTATTCCAAAATTGACCACATACTTGGAAGTAAAGCTCTCCTCGGCAAATGTAAAAGAACAGAAATTATAGCAAACTGTCTCTCAGACCACAGTGCAATCAAACTAGAACTCAGCATTAAGAAACTCACTCAAAACCGCTCAACAACATGGAAACTGAACAACCTGCTCCTGAATGACTACTGGGTACATAACAAAATGAAGGCAGAAATAAAGATGTTCTTTGAAACCAACGAGAACAAAGACACAACATACCAGAATCTCTGGGACACATTCAAAGCGGTGTGTGTGGGAAATTTATAGCACTAAATGCCCGCAAGAGAAAGCAGGAAAGATCCAATATTGACACCCTAACATCACAATTAAAAGAACCAGGAAAGCAAGAGCAAACACATTCAAAAGCTAGCAGAAGGCAAGAAATAACTAAAATCAGAGCAAAACTGAAGGAAATAGAGACACAAAAAACCCTTCAAAAAATTAATGAATCCAGGAGCTGGTTTTTTGAAAGGATCAACAAAATTGATAGACCGCTAGCAAGACTAATAAAGAAAAAAAGAGAGAAGAATCAAATAGACTCAATAAAAAATGATAAAGGGGATATCACCACCAATCCCACACAAATACAAACTACCATCAGAGAATACTACAAACACCGCTACACAAATAAACTAGAAAATCTAGAAGAAATGGATAAATTCCTCGATACATACACCCTCCCAAGACTAAACCAGGAAGAAGTTGAATCTCTGAATAGATGAATAACAGGCTCTGAAATTGTGGCAATAATCAATAGCTTACCAACCAAAAAGAGTCCAGGACCAGATGGATTCACAGCCGAATTCTACCAGAGGTACAAGGAGGAACTGGTACCATTCCTTCTGAAACTATTCCAATCAATAGAAAAAGAGGGAATCCTCCCTAACTCATTTTAGGAGGCCAGCATCATCCTGATACCAAAGCCGGGCAGAGACACAACAAAAAAAGAGAATTTTAGACCAATATCCTTGATGAACATTGATGCAAAAATCCTCAATAAAATACTGGCAAACTGAATCCAGCAGCATATCAAAAAGCTTATCCACCATGATCAAGTGGGCTTCATCCCTGGGATCCAAGGCTGGTTCAATGTGCTCAAATCAATAAATGTAATCCAGCATATAAACAGAACCAAAGACAAAAACCACATGATTATCTCAATAGATGCAGAAAAGGCCTTTGACAAAATTCAACAACCCTTCATGCTAAAAACTCTCAATAAATTAGGTATTGATGGGACATATGTCAAAATAATAAGAGCTATCTATGACAAATCCACAGCCCACATCATACTGAATGGGCAAAAACTGGAAGCATTCCCTTTGAAAACTGGCACAAGACAGGGATGCCCTCTCTCACCACTCCTATTCAACATAGTGTTGGAAGTTCTGGCCAGGGCAATTAGGCAGGCGAAGGAAATAAAGGATATTCAATTAGGAAAAGAGGAAGTCAAATTGTCCCTGTTTGCAGATGACAGGATTGTATATCTAGAAAACCCCATTGTCTCAGCCCAAAATCTCCTTAAGCTCATAAGCAACTTCAGCAAAGTCTCAGGATACAAAATCAATGTACAAAAATCACAAGCATTCTTATACACCAATAACAGACAAACAGAGAGCCAAATCATGAGTGAAATCCCATTCACAATTCCTTCAAAGAGAATAAAATACCTAGGAATCCAACTTACAAGGGATGTGAAGGACCTCTTCAAGGAGAACTACAAACCACTGCTCAATGAAATAAAAGAGGATACAAAGAAATGGAAGAACATTCCATGCTCATGAGTAGGAAGAATCAATATTGTGAAAATGGCCATACTGCCCAAGGTAATTTATAGATTCAATGCCATCCCCATCAAGTTACCAATGACTTTCTTCACAGAATTGGAAAAAACTACTTTAAAGTTCATATGGAATCAAAAAAGAGCCTGCATTACCAAGTCAATTCTAAGCCAAAAGAACAAAGCTGGAGGCATCACACTACCTGACTTCAAACTATACTACAAGGCTACAGTAACCAAAACAGCATGGTACTGGTACCAAAACAGAGATATAGATCAATGGAACAGAACAGAGCCCTCGGAAATAACACCACATATCTACAACTATCTGATCTTTGACAAACCTGAGAAAAACGAGCAATGGGGAAAGGATTCCCTATTTAATAAATGGTGCTGGGAAAACTGGCTTAGTCATATGTAGAAAGCTGAAACTGGATCCCTTCCTTACACCTTATACAAAAATTAATTCAAGGTGGATTAAGGACTTAAACGTTAGACCTAAAACCATAAAAACCCTAGAAAAAAACCTAGGCATTACCATTCAGGACATAGGCATGGACAAGGACTTCATGTCTAAAACACCAAAAGCAATGGCAACAAAAGCCAAAATTGACAAATGGGATCTAATTAAACTAAAGAGCTTCTGCACAGCAAAAGAAACTACCATCAGAGTGAACAGGCAACCTACAAAATGGGAGAAAATTTTCGCAACCTACTCATCTGACAAAGGGCTAATATGCAGAATCTACAATGAACTCAAACAAATTTACAAGAAAAAAACAAACAACCCCATCCAAAAGTGGGCAAAGGATATGAACAGACACTTCTCAAAAGAAAACATTTATGCAGCCAAAAGACACAAGAAAAAATGCTCATCATCACTGGCCATCAGAGAAATGCAAATCAAAACCACAATGAGATACCATCTCTCACCAGTTAGAATGGCAATCATTAAAAAGTCAGGAAACAACAGGTGCTGGAGAGGATGTGGAGAAATAGGAACACTTTTACACTGTTGGTGGGACTGTAAACTAGTTCAACCATTGTGGAAGTCAGTGTGGCGATTCCTCAGGGATCTAGAACTAGAAATACCATTTGACCCAGCCATCCCATTACTGGGTATATACCCAAAGGACTATAAATCATACTGCTATAAAGACACATGCACACGTATGTTTATTGCGGCACTATTCACAATAGCAAAGACTTGGAACCAACCCAGATGTCCATCAATGATAGACTGGATTAAGAAAATGTGGCACATATACACCATGGAATACTATGCAGCCATCAAAAATGATGAGTTCATGTCCTTTGTAGGGACATGGATGAAATTGGAAATCATCATTCTCAGTAAACTATCGCAAGGACAAAAAACCAAACACCGCATGTTCTCACTCATAGGTGGGAATTGAACAATGAGAACACATGGACACAGGAAGGGGAACATCACACACTGGGGCCTGTTGTGGGGTGGAGGGAGGGGGGAGGGATAGCATTAGGAGATATACCTAATGCTAAATGACAAGTTAATGGGTGCAGCTCACCAGCATGGCACATGTATACACATGTAACTAACCTGCACATTGTGCGCATGTACCATAAAACTTAAAGTATAATAATAATAAAATTTAAACAAATTGAAAAAATTATTGTTTTAGGGAAATAAGATTATCTAACAATTAAAATAATTTTGAGATGATGGTAATATTATTTTATGCCTTGATAAGACTTTGGGTTACACAGTGTAGACATTTCTACAAATCCATAGTTTAGTATACTTAAGATTTGTTTATTTCATTAAAAGTAAATTTACATAAAAAATATTGATCTGTAGTTAATGATATTGCTTAGTGTTGAACAGTTGAGCATGCTGTTTAGCATTGAAATGTACTGACATTTGCAATATTCTTTGAGATGTAAATAATAATAATATGAATGGATGTGTGGATATGTGAGAAATTGCAAATCTCAAAATGTTTATTGTAGGATCTAGATGTTGGGCATGATGGTGTTCACACCACAATACTTCCAAACTCTTTTGTGTTTGAAAATGTTTCATAATAATATGTCAGGCAAAAAATGACAAGTTAGACATGAAGAGTTTTTCCATTATGCTGGTATTCTCTACTACCAACTACCCAGATCAATTTTCTGCCCTCCCGTGCCCTGCTTTATGCTCCAGGAGGCTTGTGCCTGTGGCTACATCTTTCAGTATCCCTTGTACTCTGACTTCTTTTAAGAATCATACAGAAGTGGACAGAGAAAGGAATCTGGAGGATGGAGGGAGAAAACAAAGCTTTTTCTTTTTTCCTCTCTCATTATCCCTGTTGCACTTTCAGTGAGTGGCTGATGTTTTCATAATTCCATGCTTTCATTCTCTTTGGTAATTTATGTCTAGGGATAGTAACAGTTATAAATGTTACAAGTCTCTGTATGTCAACATACACATTGTTATATGTTACCTCCAAATTTTCCTACATCTCTATAAGTAGCCCTTCCTTAAAATAACACATAAATACGAATTGTGAATTGTGTGGTTCACCTTTTCTGCCAGTACCCTGATTGAGAAAGTCGATGGTATTAGAAATCATTCCAGAAAAGCCAACTTGTAGATGGGATTTTGAGATTGGATTTTTCCATATTTGATGACACATAAATGACCTTTTTGGTTGTGAGATCACGACATGGACAATCCACACATCCATCACCCCTGATGATAGGTGCTGGTAGACCAGCAAGTGTCAAGTTGGAGAGCAAATCGCTGTAGCTCTCCATCACTGGGGCAAACATGGAAATTACAGAAGTTGGTACTATGATTTGGATATGGTTTGTTTGGTCCCACTGAGTCTCATGTTGAAGTCTGATCCTCACTATTAGAGGTAGGCCCTGGTGAAATCACAGGGGCTGATCTCTCATGAACGGCTTAGTGGCATTTTTGAGGGAGTGGTGAACTCTCATTCTTAGTTCCTGGGATAACTGGCTATTGAAAAGAGCCTGGCACTTCCTCCATTGTGTCTCTCTTGCTTCCTCTCTTGCCATGTGATCTGCATCTGCACACATCTGCCTTCCTTAGCCTCCTTCTATGAGTGGAAACTGCTTGAGGCCCTATCAAAAGTCAAGCAGATGCAGGCTCCATGTTTTTTGTACAGCTGTGAGCCACATTAACCTTTATAAATCACCCAATCTCAGGTATTCCTTTATGGCAACACAAGCCAACAAAGACAGCTGGTGTTCTGGCTCTGTTGACTGAACTGGAGAGCTTACGAAAAAAAAAAAAAAAAAAAAGAACAAAAACAATACTGACTAAATGTTCATAGCTGCTATTTTCTTACCCTAGGCATTGTCTTAACCAAATTTTAGGCTTCTCTCCTTCCTACAGGTCCCTGAACTCTGTTTTCTCCCAAGCCTGAGCAAACACTAAAAAAGTGAAAATTTGTCCCCTTTATCGGTTTTTCTCTGAAAATCAGCTTGACACAGTGAAATTCTAATCCTATCATACCTCGTCGTTTTCTCTTGCTTGTCCAGCTTTCTCTGGAAATATCTGAAATATTCTGTTTATTTCTAATTATCCTTCCTTTACCCTATAAAAGAAGAAATTCTTATTCTGTTTGATTTTGAGAGGCTTGAAGACTTCTGAGAATGGAGGAGTTTTCTTATTCCAATAGTCTTTCTTCTGAATAAACCTACTTCCTGGATCTATTTTTATTTGACAGTTTCTGGTGTCTTGACTCATTTGGAATGCTGATGACTTCCTAGCCCTTGCTGTCTTCACCCAAGTATTTATGCCAGCTACTCAGGCCATTTTTGTTCTTCCTGGCCTGGGAAATAGGGACTCACGGTGATGAGTAACAACTCTTAATCCAGTGCTCCGGACATGTTTGCCTGAAGTTACATGACAGGAAGTTGCTTTAATTCTATTAAATGGTGTTCTTCACAGTCCTTTAAAGTCTGATCAGGATGTTTCCTGGTTTTTTACTGTTTGAGCAGAACATTTTATGGGTCTTTTACATGGATTGAGAATCTTCCTATATAGAAGTATTTTTGGCTTTTTTGTTTGAGTGGGGTTTTACTTTCTCACTCTTTTTGTTGAGTAGAATTCTCCCTGAATTTTTCTAGTACACAGAGAATATGTCTGAGTTTTCTTATCTCTTTTCAAGTGGAGATTTACTCCTTGACTCTCAAGTGGGAAATTCTGACTCTTTGGTGAAGGCTTTATTGTTTTCTGGACTCCTTGTCCAGGGATTGCCTAGAGCAAGTTCTTAGGCTCTTTAAGAACTATGGTGCAAGAAACCCTTTTGGATTTTAGATAGGCACTGTGCATGGAATGACTTTTTCCTGCTGTCTTTTTTCTCTACTTGATCTTGCTCCTCTTATAGATAACTCTCAATCAACTGGGCACTCTTCTTCCATCACTCCAGGTGCCTAGAGGTTTCATCACTATGGCATTAATTCTGTCCAACATCTTCAAAATGGCAAAAATCTTATTAAGAGTAATTTAGAATTACAGTCGGCACTTTGAGGCTTTGGGATCTCCCCAGGTTAGTTTATCTTTGAAGAGCTTTTGAATCTCAGGGGTCTAAAATTTATTGTAAACAATGATCTTTTTTTCTTGTTTTAAAGAAGCCAAAATGTGGTTTTTCCAATCAAATCTCAAGCAGCACCTTCAACAATCTCAATATTCCTTATTACAAACTATTTAGTCACTTAAAAACACCAGTCTTCCTCCAATGCTACTCCTGGTTTCCCCCCCAAATCTAAGATACACTTTCCCTGGACACTTGGCTTTCCTTTTCCTCCTGTTCTTCCAAATGTATTTCTGTCCCCCAACCCCATCTTGTTCTGACCCATCTTGTGTTTACCCTCTACTCTATTATCCCATCCAGACCCCATCAGTTTCTCAATTTCCTATGGTAGCCTGTGACCTCCATCCTGTTTCTCCAGTATTAGGACTCTGAGGATAAGTAGCTATTGGATTCCACTTAGCCTCTCCTCAACAGATTACTTTAAAACTTTTGCGTAGATATCATTTCTATGCTATAACGATTTTCAAACCCACATAAAAATAGAAAAAATTTCTACACAATTTAGGTTGGTCTTAGGGCTTATTCTTTGAGATTCCCAGATCTCTACCAATTTATTCAACTCCTTCTAGAATCTAGAGATGTCTCTTTATGTTTCAAAAAAGCCAATTGGGTTAGAGTTAATAACAATTTATGAATAAATCAGAGTATCACTAAGACCTATAACTGAGGTAAAGAAATTAGAAAAAAAAGTTCTTACACTCCACACTGATGGCTTTCCCATCTAAAATTGATGGGTAAAAGATTCAAAAGTCTGAACGACAAAGAAATGAATCAAGGTCTAATTACATATAGCACCTAGAAAATGTCTGAAGAAATTATTCATGTCAAACTCTAGATGACTGCATGACATCTGCTTTGGTTATCACCTTTGTTAATGGACTTGGTTCAGGACTGGAAGAGGCTATTAAAAACATCACATTCATTGGCAAAATATGCCTGTTTTGAAACTAATGCTTTAGCACAAGACCATTAGGATGTACAGGTTGGTGATGCTAAGTTTACACATTGTAAGTTTATAACTCAGACTTAAATGACTTGAGGAAAACCATCCTAAAACCTTCAGGCAATCTTCCAACAAAAATTTTAGTAGATAGAGATACCTGTAGATATCGAAGAGAAAAGAGTATTGTGCTAAAATATGCCCCATCGGAGCAGGAAAAAAAAAAAACATAAACAAACAAACACCAGCCCACATCAGAGTCTCAGTGACTGTACCATAAGGAATCTGCTTATGTTTGCCCTCAAATACACTCAAATACCCTCAGGAAAATAATAATCGCAAATAATGACCACCTCACCACTTTCTGGTAAAAACCAGCAACTCTTACTCCCTTAACACCTCACAATTCCCCAACTATAATCCCTCAGAGAACACAATCCTTTGTGTACTAAAATTGATGGGTAAAAGATTCAAAAGCCTCAACAACAAAGAAATGAATCAAAGTCTAATTACATATAGCACCTTTAAAAATGTCTGAAGAAATTATTCAAGTCTAACTCCAGATGACTGCATGACATCTGGAATCCCTTGTGTACTCTGTCGGATTACAGTGGAGAATTGTGAGATATTAAGCTTTTTATTAAAATCCACAACCTTCGTTAATCTATTAACCATAGACCTTTCTAATTAAAATATTAATATTTAATGTTCACCTGTGGGACTAACCCTTGAAGTTGCAGACCCTTACTCTATCTTTGCTTTTTGACTATTCTAATAGATTACCTCAGCTTTCTTGCCCCTCTCACAGCTCTCCAAGCCTGTGAAAAACTTTACATTATAGACATACTCCATCCCAATCCTGACTCAGCTTGAGCTATAAGAACTATAGAGGTAGGATATATCTGGGAAGCCGAGTTTTTGATCCCCCTAAGCCCCTTCCTAAACTATCTCAGTATTCTTTAAAACATGATGCATTTGAAGGCTTCATACCTATTATTGAAGGACCCCCTGCAGGGGGGCTCCTTATTTCCACTTCCAGTCCCTGCCACACACCTATTTAACTATTAAAAGACCCAATAAAAAGTTACTAATTAGTCCAAAATTTGTGTGCTACAAATAAAATTTTAAAACCTGGGTTGCTTCTCATCCTAAACCCCGATACTCCCCTCATTTCTGTATCTTACAATGCTATTTATTTTACTATTGTTGACTTATTCTCTGTTTTTTAATCAGCGTATCCATTGATCCTAACTCCCAATGTCAGTTTAAATTACATGGACAAATTAACATTATGCTTGAGCATCCATACCCCAGAGATTTGTCGATGCTTTTGCTTATTTTTCATGAACATTAAATGTAAATCTGAAGATTTTCATCTGGCCTTGCAATTCAACCCTCATCCAATATATAAATGACCTCCTTCTTTGTTTTATGACGTTATACAACTCTTTTTTCAGAGACTAGAATTGCAACCCCTGCCTTTGTTTTCCATTTGCTTGGTAGATCTTCCTCCATCCCTTTATTTTGAGCCTATGTGTGTCTCTGCACATGAGATGGGTCTCCTGAGTACAGCACACTGATGGGTCTTGACTCTTTATCCAATTTGCCAGTCTGTGTCTTTTAATTGGAGCATTTAGCCCATTTACATTTAAGGTTAATACTGTTATGTGTGAATTTGATCCTGTCATTATGATGTCAGCTGGTTATTTTGCTTGTTAGTTGATGCAGTTTCTTCCTAGCATTGATGGTCTTTACAATTTGGCATGTTTTTGCAGTGGCTGGTACCGGTTGTTCCTTTCCATGTTTAGTGCTTCCTTCAGGAGCTCTTGTAGAGCAGGCCTGGTGGTGACAAACATTGTGGAAAATAGTATGGCGATTCCTCAAGGATCTAGAATTAGAAATACCATTTGACCCAGCCATCCCATTACTGGGTATATACCCAAAGGATTATAAATCATGCTGCTATAAAGACACATACACACGTATGTTTATTGGGGCACTATTCACAATAGCAAAGACTTGGAACCAACCCAAATGTCCATCAATGATAGACTGGATTAAGAAAATGTGGCACATATACATCATGGAATACTATGCAGCCATAAAAAAGGATGAGTTCATGTCCTTTGTAGGGACATGGATGAAGCTGGAAACCATCATTCTTAGCAAACTATCACAAGAACAAAAAACCAAACACCGCATGTTCTCACTCATAGGTGGGAATTGAACAATGAGAACACATGGACACAGGAAGGGGAACATCACACACTGGGGCCTGTTGTAGGGTGGGGGGAGGGGGGAGGGATAGCATTAGAAGATATACCTAAAGTAAATGACGAGTTAATGGGTGCAGCACACCAACATGGCATATGTATACATATGTAACAAACCTGCACGTTGTGCACATGTACCCTAGAACTTAAAGTATAGTAATAAAAAAAAATACATCTAGATTGGAAAGGAAGAAGTAATATAATTTCTATTCACATGTGACATGATCTTGTATATAGACAATTCTGAGAAATCCACTGAAAAACTATTAGAACTAATAAAAGAGTAAAGCAAACTTGCAGGATACAAGATTAATATAGAAAAATCAATTGCATTTTTACACATTTCCAATGAATGATTAGAAAATGAAATTGAGAGCAATTTCATTTACAATAGCATCAAAAAATCAAAATACTTATAAATTTAATCAAGGAGGTACAAATCTTTTAATCTGAAAACTACAAAATGTTGAAATGAATTTTTTAAAGATAGAAATAAATTGAAAATAATAGATGGAAAACTATCTCACATTTATAGGCTAATATTATAGTTTCACGTTGTTAAAATGGCAATATTTCTAAAATTAATCTACCATGTAATTCCTATTGGAATCCCAGTTAGCTTTTTTGTAAAACTTGTCAAGCTAATTCTAAAATTCATATGGAATTGTAGGGCAGTCAGAATAGCCAAAATAATCTTGAAAATGAATAATAAATTTGGAGGGTTCACATATTCCAACTCTTTGAAAACTTACACTGCAGACAAACAGCAATCAAAACAGTGTAGTCCTAGTAGAATGAGGGACTCATAGATCAATGAAATAGAATTAAAAGTTCAGAAATGAAGCCATGTGTCTATGTTCAGCTAACTTTGACGAGGGTACAAGATCATTCAATGGGGAAAGACTAGTCTTTTCAATAAATGATGCCAGGAAACTGGATAGCCAAAAAAATAAATAAATAAATAAATAAATAAATAAATAAATAAATAAATAAATAAAGTTCAGTTTTGTATCCCCAAGTGAACTATTTAACTCATATTTTCCCGATGGGAAAACCTTATCCCCAGATTGTTCAAGACCATTCTTAATGACCTCCTACATAAATCCATGAGACAGTTTGGAGGGATTCTGGAACTGTTTGGCTATTGTAGAGTATGAATATCTAATTTCTTTACTATAGTATCCCCTTTCTAGGGCATAACTAAAGAAATTATGTCTGAATCCCTAAAATGGAACTCACTTTCTATAACAGCATTTGAATTTCTAAAAAAAATGCCTTTCCTCCATCCCCATTTTAGGGCTTCCTAACTATCCCTTCCTTTTCTTTCTATTTGTTTAGGAAAGAGAGCACATCTTGAGGGCCCTTGCATAAAAACACAATGAAAACCACAAGGTCCTTCTGATATCTCAGTCTTACTATAGATCCTGTGGCACAGGCTTTTCATCCTTGCTTTTAAACAACAGTGGCCACTGCAAAATTAGTTCAAGCAATGACCGCCCTTCGATGAAGCCAGAGTCTAAACATTTATATACCTCAAGCAGTCCAGACCCTTCTACCTGAAAACACTCAAAACTTCACAGCTCCTCAGTTTACTTTTCATGAAATTCTTCTACACCCTTCTAATTTCACTATACATCATTGTTAACTGAGAGTACCACTCTCCTCCCTCTCTCAACTGATAGACAACTACATGATTATATTATGGCCATTCAAGACTCAATATTCTAGACTGAATATCTCTTGCCCAGACTTTCGCAGATCCCACTTGCAAATCCAGAACTTACCCTCTGTTGAGGGTTCGTATCTGAGCAGCTCAGAAGGAAATTTTTAGGCATGATTTGCCATTATACATTTTCAAACAGCCAACATCATATTATAAGTGTCTAGCTCAGATTGTTGAACATGTGGCACTCACAAGAATCTGCTCTTTAGCTAAAGACGACATAGCATCTATTCAGACAGTAGATATGCTTTGGGAATAGCACATAATTTTGGTATGTTATGGAAAACAAAATGATTTATGACACCATTGGGGACACCAATTAAAAATGAAAAACAGGTGTAACGCCTCTTAGAAGCTTTCTTATTGCCAAATGAGATGGCCATACTTAAAATAGAAACTCATGTTCTCCAAAAAACCTTTGAAGCAAAAACAAACAAGAAAACAAAACAAAAACAAAAACAAAAACAAAAAAACAAAAAAAACCATCTGGGTTGATAAATATGCTAAACTGACAGCTGTTTCATAAAGCTCTCACCGCTATCAGAAGATATTTTAAATCTACTCTACTTAACCACCCAATGCTGTAATGGAGGAACTTACAATCTCCCAGTTCAAAGCCCCTGAACATAAAAAGACCAAAGGGAAACAAATTGGATGTATTGTCTACCAGGGAGTATTTTGGAGACACCCACAAGACTGCTTTGTCCCTACTCAGTCCCAAATCTGGATGCAGTCTTACCTTCATAAAAATATTCACAATGAAAGAGAGAAACTAAATCAACTGCTCACCGATATTAATGGAGAAACTTCACTGCCTATCTGAAAGAAGTGTGTCTTCTGGCCCATTCTGTCAAAAACACAGCCCCGGTAAAGTTGCAAAGGTAGCGCCAGGAAAATAACTACCTTCAGCAGGACCTTTTTTTCACTGACAGATCTATTTCATTCAGCTCCGTAAATCTCATGAATAGGAATATGTTCTTACCACCATATGCATGTTCTCTTTCTGGCTTTTGCCTTTCCCTTGTAAAGAGGTAACTGCAACTGCTAAACTTGGGTTACAATGAGTATTACCCACATGGAGAGCTCTACTGGCTCTTTAAGTGACTATAAGAAATAGGTTCATTTCACTGGTAAAGTCATCCAAGAAATCCCTTGAGTTCTTTTTTTATTCAAAATTACATTTCTTCCATTATCCCCACTCACCTGGAGTAATAGAGAGAGCTAATGAACTATTAAAATTAAAGCTTGCTAAATTAATGGAAAAATTTTATCTCCCATGGCCTGGGATTTTATTCTTAGTCCTAATTCCCCTCTGTCTCTTCTGGGTCACACAAAGAGTGCTCATCTAAAATAATAACTATCTGGCCTATGCAAATTCTCTATTCTATCTGGGTTCTCAAAGATTCTATCCTGATTTTTCAAACATTCTAAAATAATGAGAAATTAGTTAATTTTATTCAAACTTATCATCAACAGGCCAAGGCTGCCTTTCCTCCAGTTCTTCCATCAAAACCACTCTATAACCTAGAAATTGGAGAAACAGTTCTCTGGAGGTGACATCACTGGAATATTAATCTTGAATCTTGTTAGAAGAGCCCTTACAATCTCCTCTTACCACCAACACTTTATAATTTCTCCATTCTTGCAAGGACTGCAGAATTCCCAGAGTGGCATTCCTTCACTCTATCCATAGCACAATCTTAGAGCCCCACTTTGAGTTGCTTGTTATATGCTCCCTTTCCCTTGAACGCCTCTGGTTTGCTTCAAATTCTGTACCATTCTAAGATCTAAAAGAATTCTTTATCACTTGGAGGTCCTTTTGCTTTTTTCTCTAAACTTAAAAAAAAAAAAAAAAAAAAACCTTCTTTAAACCTCAATGCATTTCAAACAAAAGCAATCTATATTTCCACCAGAACATAATCAAGTATCCTTTCATGGGCCTAAGTATTTGCAATAACACCTGTTTTGCCACTAATACAGCTATCTACACTATAGGGGGCAAGAGTACATATTCCTTACCTTGTTATATAAGTCTAATAGACCCGGATTTATCTTAAACATAATGTTACCGCGTTTGCTTGGGACTGACATCTCATAAACGAGAACTTAACACTTTCGTGTTACCACTTGAATGGGACATTTCCATCAAAATGGCTGATATGAATTCTGAGATGCAAATCCATGGGACAGTTATTTCTGTGAACCTGAATAGCCCCAGTGAGACATATTTTATTGTAGAAACTTGCCTATTGGTACCTGCTGGCTAATTGGACTAGATCCTATTATCTAGATCACTAAATTAGCTCCCATTTAATCTTTAACCAGACTGCCCTCTTTGTTCATCACAGCCACACTATTATTTCTGATTTAAGTTTTCTAGGGACCAGACAAGCCAAAAAGTCCAGAAAAATGTGTTAGAACTACAACCTTAGACAAAAAATCCCAGCTCTTGAAAAGGGCTGTGACCCTCCTTTCTCACTAAGTTCTCAAAATGGTACAAGTAAGAAAATGTAAAAGCTACATGTGCAAAAATATGAGAAAGAAGTTTTAAAAATAATGTTAAGATATTTAGTCACACTAAAATTATTAAACTATTTCTTTCTGTATCTCATTTAATAAAATATTATCCATAAATTTATTTCACAAAAGGATGCAGCATAATATGACATATTTAAATATACATCATTTAATAAGACAGTAATAAATCTTTATTTAAAGGATGCGACAGTTTTAGCTAAAATAAAAAAAATTCGCTTTAATCTTTCCTTATTTAAAGTGTTAGTACTTCATGGAGAGAAGTTTAGTGTTTCTTATATCTTTTGATTTAATGTTTTATTTTTCTGGCTCATTATGGTTATGGTTATGTTCTTTGAATATTTTATTGTTATTGAGGTCACTTCAATTATGTTTAGGGGACTTTTATTTTAAGAATACATTTCCAGTTTTACAGTGAGAATTAAAACACATAACAGATTCCATATAAAATATTTAAATTCCCAGCAAAATGATTAGTGTTTGGCCTTCAGTGCTTTATGAGAAGCTGTAGTACTTCAATCTATTAATATTCTGCCATATTTTCATATGGGAAATACATTCTTTTTTTAATTCTCTTTTTAGTATGTGCCAAGCACATAGCACAAAAAGAGAACTAGTTTCTCTGGGGAGTAACGAAGCCAAGAACATTACTTCATCAACTTTATGATGAACTGTAGCTTTCACATTAAGAGGCAAATTCTTCATTTCAAAACATTAACCCACAAAGTATTTAATAATTGAAGTCTGTGTGATTTAGAGTTAAGAAATGAATTAAGTACAAAAATAGATTTTTTCCTCACTTTCCTTTGATTGTGCCCTGGATTGATTGTTATTCATTTTAGAATCTTGCCTTTTAGGACTTTTTTCCAATAGAGTTTGAGAATTTCCAATAATAGCTGACTTCAATAGCATTTCCGTCTTGTGGAAATTATTTGTCAATTAAAATGCTCTTCATGAAATTGAAATTTATTTGCACTCTATGTCTACTGGAAGATTTGAGGAACTATTCTATTATTCTGTAATGAAGGCGCTTAAATAAATGTTAAGAAATCTATTAAAAACTTAATATAGCCTGGTGCGGTGGCTTACGCCTATAATCCTAGCACTTTGGGAGGCCGAGGCGGGCACATCACCTGAGCAGAGATGGCACCACTGCACTCCAGCCTGGGCAACAGAGTGAGATTCCATCTCAAAAAAAAAAAAAACCCTTAATATATTCCCATGGTGGAGCCTAGATTTGAACTCAGGGAGTCAAGCTCTATAATTAATGCTCCTAAATATTGTGTAGGAAACTCTCTTATTAGAGTAAGGCAGGAGAGATTGAATAAATCACAAATATACTGGAAATGTCATAAACCTATGATCTTTACTTTTTTGGAAAAGGTAGTTTCTCTGCTCTGTCTTCATGATTAAAAACTTCTCATTTCTCACTACTTTGCCAGCATCTAGTTCTCATGTGGAATAAGCTATTGTGTTGTCTTTATTATCCAATTTTGTTTTCTTACATTCTTTTACCCTCAAAAGGATTCTTGGTAGACATCTGATTTTATTCTTAGGTCCAGGTAATAATCAGGATGAGTATGAGACAGCTAGTAAAAGAAAGCAAGAGTGTTTCCACTGTAGACAGAAAAAAAAAATACTTTTTTTTTCCATGATGGTGGACTGAAGACATTGTTAGCATGTCTCTCCCACTTGGAAAGGCAAAATAGTGTGTAAAGATTCATGCTGTGAAAGAAACCACAGGCCTTTGGAAAGAACCAGTGGGCAACGGCCTAAACCACGAGCCAGAGGAAAACTGTGTGTCTCCATAGCATGTGAGAGAGAGAAACCGCTGCAGTGACCCACACTCCCAAAAGGGACTCAGGCATTTTAGGTCACAGAAGGTCTTAATCCAATATAGCAGTGGAGCTGATTTAGTGAGCAGTGGGGACTCTAAGAGAAGGAGTGGCATTGGGATAAGATTTGCATGCACTTTCAAACTCCAGTGGGACAGAGGGAAGCCATTCCAAATCCTTTCTCACAGGAGACCTCACGGAAATCTGCCAGCCAACTCATGATGTAGTCACAGGTTGAGAGAAGCATCAACTGAGCATTGAGACAGAATCATGACTGGGGACAAAACTCATTGGCCAGGACGGAAGGACGTGCAGGAAGTGTGCTATAGCCATGGGCACAGGAGCTGAGCACCTCTACTTCACTGGCAGATCAAGAGGGGCATGGCCTGAAACTCACAGTTTTTGTCTCCACTGGGAAGGCTTATGGCCTGGGGCAGTTTTGAGTTCTATGCGCAGGCTCCCTGGAACCAGCTAGTTGCGGCAAAGCACTGTGGGTGTGAGACCTGCCTTGCCAAGTACTTGGGAACTGAGTGGGGCTTACTGCCACCAGCTCCATTGCTGCTCCTCATATGGGTCTTTTGTGCAGTGTAGGCAGCAGCACTCCTCCCTGGAACAGTATTCCAGTGGTCGGGGAACTGCCTTCTGATCACCACTGGGGCCACTGCTTGAGCCTGTATATGGGGAGCCAGAGTGCAAACTTGCCGGACCCACCCGCACCCAGCTTTGTCCTTCCATCCATCCTGATAGCCTAACGTGATGGGCAGGTACATTTGGGAACTCCGTGGCCCCCCCATTGCCTGATACACAAGAATATCTACCTTGGGTAAAATAAGGCAGGCACAAATTCCACTGTTACCAACATAGCTGGTGCTCTTTGGCAAGCTCCACTTCCTGGCTGGAGGCCAACTGGCACATCCCATTACACCATCTGAAAACAAAATGACACAGTGCTCAGGAAGGAGAAAACATTTATGTGACCTCAACTACTGCCATTGCCTGCATTACCCTAGCCAACAAGGAGGTGTTGAGTATGTCCACGTGCCCAATACTACTAAAGCTGGCATTTGAGAAAGCCAACACAATAACGTTATTTATAACCAAGGAAAACTTACTTCTTGTCCACCCTCATCAGAGCTGGTGCTGGTACCTGCCACTGGGAGACTAGAGTACAGGTGACATCACCGGATCCCTTGCAGACATTCCCTAGGACCATCATAAGTATGGCAGCCCCACTGGGTGAACAGACCCAGAGAAGCAGCAGGATTACAGTAATCTGGCCGGCAAGGACTGCTACTTTTAGGGGAAGGGAGAGTAGACAACATTAAGGGAGACCCCGTGAGACAAAAGAAACCAAACTGCAGGCCCTGAGTCCCTGAACTTTCCACTTATGAGAAGTTTCTTACAGCAGAGGCACAGGTGCATTGCTGGGTTCAATGGGGAAGGTCTGCCCAACAATCAGGCAGCCCTGGTGCTCATGAAGAGTCTTGGAGAAGGGGAGTTCTCCCCCTCATCTACCACTGCAGACACAGTTGGGACTTCTCGCACAGGAGCTTGGAGTGGATAAACCTGTAGACAGCCCTCCTCGAACACTTCAGGGTGACAGCCTCCCCACAGGAGGAATGCCCTCCAGGTTCAGGCTTGCAGAAGAGGTAGCCTCACAACCCCTCACAACATGGAACACCAGCATTCCTGCAGCTGAAAAGAGGTGCCTGTCTGATCTGAATAGCTAAAACACTGAGTAAGGAGTGTGATTGGCAGGTGGATTGTTTTCTTGCTGGTTTGGAAGGAGAGCTGTAGTGGTGCCCTCTCTTCCACCTTAGAAGACCTCAGTGCATTTCATTGAGAACTTTCCCAGGCACCTCTGCCAAGGATGGAACCTTTGCCCACCATTTGGGTACTGCATTTACTGGCCTGCTTTAGCCACAGCTAGTTTTTACCTGTGGGCACTTCCTACTGGCTTGAAGCCTGAATTGTTCAACCTAGTTGTATTAGTACATTCTCATACGGCTGTAAAAGACTGCCTGAAACTTTTACCAAGGAAAGAGATTTAATTGACTCACAGTTCTGCAGGGCTAGGGAGGCCTCAGGAAATTTACAGTCCTGGTGAAAGGGCAAGCAAATATCTCCTTCTCCACATGATGTAAGGAAGGAGAAGTGCTGAGCAAAAGGGGGAAAAACCCTTATAAAACCAGCAGATCTCATGAGAACTCACTACCATCAGAACAGCATGCAGATAACCACCCCATGGTTCAACTACCTCCCACTAGGTTCCTCTCATGAGACGTGGGGATTATGGAAACTACAACTCAAGTTGAGAATTGGGTGAGGACACAGCCAAACCACATCACTAGTGAATAAAGTACTGGGAGAAATTTTGTTTTTTTTCAAATTGCACAATACTGAGTAATGAGATAAGCTTCATGAGACCTTTGCCATTCCAACTGCACAGGAGACAGTGAACTTGCTTTCACAACTAGTATATCACTGCTGTAACCAGCATCACTTAAACTACAAACAATATTTAATAATAATGCTTAGGAATGTGTACATTGGAGTACAATAATGAAGAAAAGAGAACTTATTACCCTCAAATTTGGATAATGACCATTGAAGAAGGAATCATAGAGGCTGTAACTAGCTAAGGACACAACAGGAGGCTCCAGGTTTTTGCAGTTTTCATTGTCATAATTTGGGTTGCTACGTGGTTGTTTGTTTTGAATAAATGGTTAATCTGCACTTTCACATTTTTTTGTACTTTCTACATGTGTTTTCTGACACAGAGGAAAAAAATGTAATTTTAATGTGCCCATTTTGATGAGCAGACAAACACAAAATTGACCAGAAAATGCGTTCATAGAGACAATGTCATACAAGGGTAAAGACTTACCTCTCACTCTAACACAAACAAAATTACAAAGAGACTTAAAGAAAAAAAAAGTTAGGATAGTATATTTCTTTATCCTTGCACTGCTATAAAGAAATACCTAAGACTGGGTAATTTATAAAGAAAAGAGGGTAAAGTGGCTCACAGTTATGCAGGCTGTACAGGTTGCATGGCTGGGGAGGTCTCAGGGAACTTTGAATCATGGCAGAGGTTGAAAGGGAAGCAGGCACATTTTACATGACCCAGAGCAGGAGGAGGAGAGAGAAGGGAGTGGTGCTACACACTTTTAAACAACTAGATCTCTTGATAACTCACTCACTATTATGAGACCACCACCAAAGGATCCAATCCTTTGATCCAATCACCTCCCACCTGGCCCCACCTCCAACACTAGGAATTATAATTTGACATGAGATTTGGTGGGGGGACACTGACCCATACCATATCAGATAGTTTAACGCTATCTGAATAAAAATGTAAAAAAATTCTTACCTTTCTAAAACCACATTATACTTACTTTTGGATGAAGATTTAAAAAGCTGATTTATTCTGAAAGTTTATTCACTAAGTTGAAGCTTGTATCTATTTTGCTGCCCTGCATCCAGTTTCTGTATTAGTTCACTGGTGCTGTCAAGACAAAGTACCACCCGCTGTGTAGGTTAAACAACAGAAATCTATTATTTAACAGTTCTGGTGGTTAGAAGTCTAAGATCAAGGTGTTAACAGAATTGATTTTTTTTTTTTCTGAAAGCTGTGAGGAAGAACCTATTTAATGGCTTTCTGTTACCTTCTGGTGGTTTGCTGGCAAATCTTGGTGTTCTTGGCTTGTAGAAGCATCACCCTGATGTCTGCCTTTATTCCCGCTTGACATTTTCTTTGTGTCTATGTCTGCCTCCAACGTTCCCTTTTTATAAGGACATTAATAAAGTTGAATTAGGGTACACCTTAATGACCTCATTTTATCTTCATGACCTTTGTAAAGACCCTATCTGCAAATAAGGTCACATTCTGAGGCACTCTGGCTTGGAACTTTAACATAGAAATTTTGAGGAGACACGATTTAATGCGTAACAGCTTTTTTTCCCCCTATATTTTCATCTGTCAACCTTTTTCTCCTTTGGTTCTGATCCAAACATATTTAATGGTTTCTTTTTTATTGTTCGCTCCTGCTACCACCTGTGTACTCACTGGCCTAATGTACTTGAGTTACATTTTATGCATGTTGAATTAAAATTATCAGCAACATTTTTAATCATCACTAAATCTCTTGTTATTTACTACTATAAATCAAATGAAAATTATTAAGATATTTCTCAAATTTCCAAAAGATAGATCTATGGTAGAAGAAAACTTCCACATAAGGACTTTACAGTTAATTAAATCAGCTAAAGCTGGTTCCCCTAATCTTCACTATAAACTTACTCTTACTCTGCTTGTCTAGTCATTAGTGATTATATGTATGTTTTCTCCCTTAAATGTATTTCCTCATCTCAAACTCTTAGTGCTTCTGAATTTAGCTATGTATTATCTATTGTTTTTGTTTATTTTTAAATTTGCTTATTATTTAAATAGAGGCAACAACCAAATTATTCCTTTATTTTGGGACCCATAATTTCATTAGAGCATAACATGCTAATTAACAGAGATGTATCTATGAGATCTCTTTATATAACACGTTTATGAAAAAGTAGGAAACGTTGTTATTTGGAGAAATGCTCATAGGACTTTGAGATGTACCTTGAAAACATTGCTACTGAGAAGTTAAGCATAATTACAAAGATCAACTTATTGTTATCAGAAACTGTTATTAACTATTTTGACAAGTCTTTATGTCTTAATTAAACTAGTATGTTAGAAATAACAAATTCTGCCACAGAATTTTAAATTCCACACAATGTATTATTTACTTAAGGTAAACGTATGCAATACTTCTGAAGTTATATTAATATTGTAATTTAGAATCTTATTTAAATAGCTGAAACTACATTGTCTCTGGTAGTGGAAAGAATCCTGTAAGAAAGATTTACCGCTATGGGGTATCTTATTGTTCAGAAAACTTTGCAAATAGACTTTATGAACCTAAAAATCCATAATGTATTTTGAATTCTGTAGAGAAAAGCACTGGGTCCATAGTAGAAATACAAGTGTTTTATTTTTTCAATATTTCTCAAAATATCCCCTGGGTTAGTCAATCAAAGATTTGGAGTATAGTGATTGGTAAAGAAAAAATTGAGTTACTTAACAAAATGCTGTGCCCTCTCCATGATATTTATTACCTCTCTGATAGAATTTATTTTTCTTCATTTATATTCACACAGAATAGTATACAGTTTTATTCAGCTTATGCATTATATTATTGCATGTCCTTAAGACATGATGATACTGTAAATGAGTATTGCTATCTGGTTAAAAACTAAATTGAAACTTATTTTTATTTCCTATGTAGAAAATAATGAAATGTCCTCCTTTCTCAAATTCCCGTTGTGGTCATTATGCTTTTGAACAGTCAATAAATGACGTATATACTATTCTGTTGACTATCATCGTCTTCTTATGTTTCTTAAAAGACTCTCAACACAGTTATATTGAAAATGTATTCTTCGTAAGAACAAATTTATTTTTATCAAATAAATACAATTTTAATAAATGTATTCTTTACCATTTATTCAAGGCCTTATTAGCATTCCTGTAAATAACAACTTTTCTATCTTTTCATAAACATGCATTATATAAATAAATAAATGTATTCTGAATAAAAATTAATCAGAATCCTTTGTAGGGTTAGGAAAGCATCGTTGCAAGTGTTAAGTTTGTTTACCATATTTTCTGGAAGGATTCTTGTTAAACTATTATTTTGTATTAATAAATATAATATGAATAATCAACTCTAAAATATTTCTAATCTCATTAAAAACTTTTTAAAATTATGCTTGTAGCAGAGAAGCGGAGGAAATGAGGAGATGTTAGCCAGAGGGTACACACTTGCAGTTATGTAGGATGAATAAGTCTACAGATCCAATGCATAGCATGAGGATGACAGTTGATAATATTGTATACTAAAAACTTGCTAAGAGGGTAGATTTTTGATGCTCTTACCACACACAGAAACAAACACACAGAAGGGAACTATGTAAGGAGATAAATAAGTTAATATGTTTAACTGTAGTAATCATTTTACTATGTGTGTGTATATGTGTGTGTGTACGTATATTAGAATAGCATGTTGAACACATTAAATATACAGTTGTCCCTCAGTATTCAGAGGGGATTGGCTCTAAGACCCCCAAGATAGCAAAATCCACAGATGCTCAAGTTCCTTACATAAAATGGTGCAGTATTTGCATATAACCTATGCACATCCTGCTGTATATTTTAAGTCACCTCTAGGTAACTTATAATACCGAATACAATGTAAATGCTATGTAAATAGTTGCACTTTAAAAATTGTATTATTTTTATTGTTGTATTGCTATTTTTTTTCCAAATAATTTTGACCTATGTTTGACTGAACACACCGATGTGGAACCCATGCATAGGTTCTACGTTATGCTTCATAACACAAGACAGAAATCTAAACCATGATTTGATGATGATGATGGGAAGGCCTACTTGTGATGCATACTTAATTTTATTATAAGCTTCTATTAACCCTCTAGATAATATCATTAATTAACGCAAGTAGCATAGCAGTATTCACTAACTTTATTGCACTATGATATCGTTATTAATTTGAAAATATGAACATTAAAGGATGCATACCCTTCTCTAAATACTTTTTGCTGTTTACTGGCTGTTGGATACTGAGAAACTTCTCAAATGCCTCTCAGAACTATGTGTTTCTCTGAAAATTTTGAATAACTATATTGCAATGTTAGTATACAAAGTAAGATTATCTGTATATGTATAAATATTGTGCATATTGTATATATATACACTTAATAAAGTATGGATGGCTTATAAACATAAAAGAAGTTCATTCTTTGAATTAGTCAATTGGTTATTCATTCTTTTATGTAACAGAGAGTTGTTGAGTTTTTTATTATCAGACAATCTGCCAAGCACCAAGGATAAAACATACAAGTCAGACATGGCTCCAGCAAATTGGCAAAGATAAAGATTACATCAGGAATGGAAGAAACAAGTGGGTGCTTAAGTTGATTTTATATTCTAAAGTGCTCACGTTATTGAAGGTTTACTGTATTCTGGGCCAAAAATTAAAAATATATAGTAAATTCATATCTGGAATTTCAAAGTAAGGCACCGTCATGTCAAATCTGAAGAGAAGAATGCAATGGGCATATAGCCCCTCTTTTAACTCCTCTTTTTGAAAATTCTATTGTCTATTTACATATCAAAAGCACTAAAAAGGCAAATAGTTCAGGTCAATTGCTGGAATATGTTGACTTTAAATCCGATTTAAGCAATTAAGTAGCAGTTATAGACATTAAATTTTAGTGAACAGGAAAGGTATACTAACTCTTTATGGCTTTAGCAAATAGTTTAATATGACCTACATTTACTGAATAGACAAGAAAGAGTATCCTCCAAAAGTGTTAGTCATTAAAATGTACATAATATACTTTATTTTAATAAATATTCACATTTGTGACTTTTTCAAGTTTTTTAATTCTCTAAATATCTTTCATCAACATGTCTTTATTGTTTGTAAGGGTTAAATATGATTTTAAAAATATTTTATAAATTCTAAATGCTAGCAATAAAAGTTATTATAATTGTTTGATGAAGTTAGCAGTTTACGTTCCGTAAAATTATAACACGTTATCATGATACTGTGGAATTGACTTGAGAGGAAGATAAATAGGACACCTGCCCATTCCTTGGATATCCAATCCAAGCTGTGAGACTCTGGGCAATTAAATTCATATCTTAGTCATGGAGATTATGATATCTACATTGAATGTAGTTGTGTAAGACAAATGAGAATCTAACATCATGTCTGCAGTGGAGAGTTTTATAAATACATCTTATCTCTTTTTTCCCCATGTTTTATATCTACGACATTTAGGCAGAAGTGATATTTATTCAACATATTGTGTATATTCATTCACCATATATAGCTTTGATGAGTTCTTATGACATCTTATTTTTTTCTTTTACACCTATCTAAACTAAATTCATGTTATTTTTCTTATTGTGATGTGTGCTGATCCTTATTATAATTTCTTCCTAAAAGTATTCTTTAAGTTCTGGCTTTTCACCCTAATTATGCTTCTGGGCAATATTGTTTCAGACCTACTGAGCTCCCATTTTTGATTTTGCTTATGTTCATTAATAGAATATCACAAGCATTTCTTTGTTGTCTCAGTTATCATAAAATTAAGATGCCTACTGGAAAATACCTAGTATTGTGTCCTTTGGTTACTCTTGACAGGAACTGTCTTGTTAAGTATTGTGCTACTTTCATTTCTCTTTGTTTCACTTCTCTTCATTATACCCTTGTTTGTGAAAGCAAATCCACAGACATTTCATTGAAACAGATTTTTAAAAATTGATCTGGGAGACAATCAGAAATATTTGAAGAAAACAAAATATCACTCTCTTGCTCTAAACTGTTCTGGTGTGCTAGATAATTATCAAACTCCTTATCAGGGCTTTCAAATGCAAACACATTTTGAAACTTCGTCTCACTGTATCTTTATGTATGTATTTGACCTAAGCCAAAGTGGTGTTTTCAGGTATCTCAAACTCAGTAAATATTTGCCCACCGCTATCTCTTTTGAAATGTTCCTCATTCAGTTAAGATTTTCTTTCTCACCCATATATAATCATCAGAACTTTATTCAGTTTGCTCTGAATAAAGCAATTTACAGTCTAGGGTACCTACATTCATAGTCAGTATATTTGGCTTGAGACCTCTAATAGATTTTAATATTCTGGAAATAATGTCACGTAATTTTGCATTGTTAAGTGCGTAAAGGGTGAAGTGCTTGTATTTGGCAGTAATGAATAAATGTTATTTAGAATGTTTCAGTGAATATGTTGGGCTACATTTTTGGGTTAAACACAAGTTTTAAAGACAAAGCAGAGAAATTATTTTGTAAAAGGAATGATCAATTAGACTTATATGATAAAGTATTTGAACATGAAGCAATTAAATACTTACATAAAATTTTAACTGTTCGAAGTTTTCTCTAATATGACAAGGATGCTTTCTCTTTTCCTTTGCATTGCATCAATGTAAACATTGTCAGTTCAAAATTAAAGCGTATAAAAATGGAAGTACAATTAATCTACCAACATTTCAAGTGAAATGTGTAGTTATAATCCAAAATAGCGTGTCCGGAATTTGTGGGTTCTTGGTCTCACTGACTTCAAACATGAAGCCGTGGACCCTCGCGGTGAGTGTTCCCATTCTTAAAAGCGGTGTGTCCGGAGTTTCTTCCTTGTGATGTTCAGACGTGTTCGGAATTTCTTCCTTCTGGTGGGTTCGTGGTCTCGCTGGCTTCAGCAGTGAAGCCGCAGACCTTCAAGCCGGGGCACCTGGAGCTGGCGCGCCTTGGAGCTGGCGCGCCTTTGGTCGTTCCTCCCAGTGGGCTTGTGGTCTTGCTGGCCTCAGGAGTGAAGCTGCAGACCTTCGCAGTGAGTGTCACAGCTCATAAAGGCAGTGCAGACCCAAAGAGTGAGCAGCAGCAAGATTTATTGCAAAAAGTAAAAAAACAAATCTTCCATAACGTGTAAGGGGACTGGAGTGGGTTGCCGCTGCTAACTCGGGCAGCCTGCTTTTATTCCCTTATCTGGCCCCACCCACATCCTGCTGACTGGTCCATTTTACAGAGAGCTGATTGGTCTGTTTTACAGAGAGCTGATTGGTCCATTTTGACAGGGTGCTGATTGATTGGTGCGTTTACAATCCCTGAGCTAGACATAAAAGTTCTCCAAGTCCCCACTAGATGAGCCAGACACAGAGCAATGATTGGTGCATTTACAAACCTTGAGCTAGACACAGGGTGCTGATTGGTGTGGTTACAATCCCTTAGCTAGACAAAGTTTCTCCAAGTCCTCATTAAACTCAGGAGCCCAGCCGGCTTCACCTAGTGGATCCTGTGCTAGCACCACAGGCGGAGCTGCCCCAGTCCGGCACCATGCGTGGGCACTCCTCAGCCCGATGGGACCGGCATTGCAGAGCAAGGGCAGACCAGGCTGCACAGGAGCCCACGGCAATGCAGGGGAGCCTTGTGCATGGCGGGCTGCAGGTCCCAATCCCTGCCCCACGGGGAGGCAGCTGAGGCCCGGCGAGAATTCAAGCGCAGCGCCAGCAGTGCCCAGCGCACTCTCCGCAGCTGCTGGCCCGGGTGCTAATCCCCTCGCCGCCTGGGGCTTGCGGTGCCGGCCAGCGGCTCCGAGTGCAGGGCCCGCTGAGGCCACGTCCACCTGGAACTCACGCTGGCCCGTGAAAGCACGCAGCCCAGGTTCCGCCCGCGCCTCTTCCTCTACACTTCCCAACAAGCAGAGGGAGCTTGCTCCAGCCTCAGCCAGCCTAGAGAGGGGCTCCCACAGTGCCGCGGGGGGCTGAAGGGCTCCTCAAGCGTGGCCAGAGTGGGCGCCGAGGCCGAGGAGGCGCCGAGAGTGAGCGAGGGCTGCCAGCACGCTGTCGCCTCTCAATAGGTAACTATTGCCTAATTAAGATTAAAAATATATAAAACTCCTTTTTCAAGAAACAAAAGTCAGTGTTGACACATTTTCTCCTTAATTTGCGTATTGAGAAGCTCTATGGATGTTTGTCTTATTCTAACAATCTGATTAACACATCTTGATATAATTTACTGTAGATGGTATAATATTCATATCCTTTTTCTCTTAATATTGCCTCTAAAATATCTATAGATTAAGCAGTCCCCAAATGGCTACCTAAAATCTTTCATTAAGCCGAATTTTCTCATTTAAAATGGCTTATATTTGCTGTTCAGGTAATTTTAAAACAGTTGCTTAAATATGAGCTAAATTGGTTGTTTCCCCATGGCTCTTTATTAATTAAATGACATATAAAGACTGGAATTAAGCATAAAAATTAGAGTCTACCCTGCCTCTAAGAAATAGATCTTTTTCTCTCTAATGAAAATCAGTCTGGGCAAACAACTACTGCATTGTGCTAGTAATCAGCTGAATTTTTCTTTACTCTTCATAAGATTCCTAAACTCCAAGCAACTTTAGAATCTGCTACTGGAATTCTGTAGGGTGTCAAAAATGATGATAATGATTGTTATGTTAGTTGTATGAATTTCTGATTTCAAACTTTATCAAGAAAACAGTCAGATAATAGGAATAAAGTTTCAGATACGTAAACCAGAGGGCTCGATAGTGTGTTGCAAAATTACATAGTATAAAGGTGTTACATCTAGCAATAAAATATAAATGGTCTACTTTCAAAAATAATGTTTTAGATATCAATATATGTATTGCATAATTTATTTTTGTGAAAAAATAGTTTTATTTATACATATATAAATATTAAATAGCTGATGTGTTTCTGTGCAGCTATTCACAGTTATAGTTTAAAAGAAATCTTAAACTAACAAACATCCTTTTTTAAATGATTAATATATCATGGGATAAATCTTATTTTAAAAAACAAAGTTATTTAAATCCATAATGTAATTTTAAGAAGAAAGTACTGTTCTTAATATTTTAATATTGAAACTTTACAGACTACAGACAAAAATGGAGCATATAGAAAGATGGATAGATGGATGAATGGATGGATGGATGGTTGGATGAATGGATGGATAGATGGATGGATAATAGGTAGATAGAAGATAGAGAATAGCTAAATAGATGAAAATAATACAAAGAGCATTAATTGCAAGGAAAACAATAATATCTGTTCACAGGAGAAAATAGAGTATTCTGTTCCTGAACTTTTTTTTTTATCTTCATACTAAATTATATGGGCTCATATATTTCATTTTAATTTTCTTCTATGTTATACAATTAAAAACAAAATAGTTTGTTCCTTTGTATTATTATTATTATAGTAAGAACACAACACAAAATCTAGCCTCTTTACTAATTTTCTAGTGGATAGCACACAGTATTGTTAAATATTGGCACAATATTGTAAAGCAGATCACTAGAATTTCTTCTTCTTGCGTAACTGAAATTTTATACTCAAACGGGTATAAATCACTTTTCTTCTCTCTGTTTTTATGAGTTTATATTTTAAGTAACAGTCATTCCTTATCACATAAGTGGAATCAAATAGTATTTGTCTTTTTGTGCCTGACTTGTTTCAGTCAGCATAATGTCCTCCAGGTTCACACATGTTGTCATATATGGCAGAATTTCCTTCTTTTTAAAGCTGAATAGTACGTTTTATTGTATGTATATACTACATTTCCTTTATCCACTCATCTGTCAATGAAAATGTTTTATTCATTAATATATCTATTGTAAAATGATTAAAAATTACATACACATGCTGTTTTAAGATAAAGAATCTATTGAATCCATAAATTCATTTTACCTAAATTTGGAAACATCTGGATAACAAAGGAAACATACAGTACATATATCTTTGGAAAAATGAATGAAAATTTTATTATCGTTTATTATTCCAGACAACTAAATTAAAAATTTGTGAATAAGGGCTTCAGAGGTAAAGTTTAGAGTATTAAAAGTTAAAGGTGATAGCCTGTGTAATAATAATTTTTGAAGTGTTGAGAGATTTCTTTATTATGAATGCAGTAAAAAAGGTACAAATATATTGGTAACAGAAAACATAAAAGGATTGTTGCAAGTTATAAATATATATGCAAGTCCTCATATTGAACAAGAAAATGGGATTGGAATTCTTAAAGACATTTTTATTGTCTAATCTTAAAAGTTTCTTCCTGAGACCTTTTTAATTTAGGATTTAATTTTGTTTTATATTAACATCCACAGCTCTTTCCTCTTCTATCATAACTTCTTTCAGAAAGAACTACTACTTAAACAGATTTTACTACACAGAAATTTTATGTTTTAGCTGCACTTACAAACAAAAAGTAACATGCGTAATGTTTAACAAGTAAAATGGAGGACTAGAATTTCAACCAATTCAGAAGAATGCAAAATTCTGTTTCTGCATTTGGGTGCCACTGTGTATCAGGCACTATGCCTGTTCTGGCAGACAAAGATGAGCCTGACTTTGAGGGGCTTATATTCTAGTTGGGAGATAGAAATATAAACAAATAATTATTATGCAAATAAGTGATATAGCAGTAGAAAAAGATTGTTACCACTGGAACAGGATAAAATGGCTATTGAGTGATCTCTAGAGGATTTTTTGATTTTCAGGACAATAGTGATTTTTACACTGGTTCGGGAATCACTAAGTAGAGAAGATGGAAACCACCCCAGGCAATGGAAAAACTGGGTGAAAAGAAAATATCCAATGCACTGCAATATGCTTTAGCAAATTGTTCAGTGAAGCCACAGTGGTTATTCTCAAGTTTAATGGAGAGATTCTTTCCTGTATCAGTAAATTCAAAGCTGCCAGTAATTCATTTCAATTACACCTCTTACTCTAACTTTAGAAATTAATATCTAGCTGATATGACTGTCAAATTTAGTCATTATTTCTTATTACAAAAGATGTTGCTAATGGAATTGTTTTACACACGCAAATGTTGATGAGACAGAAAATTATATATATATATATTGTTAATCGTTCAGCAGGAGATATGATGACATACAAAATGTTTAGGTATATATGTGTGTAGTACTTATGTCTAAGTTCTAAAATAATCACTCCTGGTGTTGTAGAGTTAAAATGCACAGGAAATGACAAGAGTTAGTAAACTTTGCAAGGGCCTTAAATGTTACTCCATTTTTTACATCTCTGTATCCTCGTCCCCTCATTCATGTCTTTTTATTTTTTGCCATTCTCAATGCTTTCCATTTAGTATAATTTAAAGGTGCTAAAATGATATTTTATGTGTTATCTTTCATCACCTGGACACTTAAACCCCAAGTGGCTCACTCTTTGGACTTCACTCCTTTAGAGATTTATTCCCCTCCTACCCTTTGACATAATTGTCATATTTGGCAATTTATTTAACACTCGCAGCAAAGATAGTTACTCTTTTGATTTTATAGCGATAAAATTGAGATAACAGAGAATCTATGTTAACTATGCTGATTGCTGTGATTTTGACATATAACATTAAGCCTTTGAATGGAATTACATCTAGTATAATTAACAGTAATTAAGAATTAAGTATAGTACAGTTTTATGCCATAGTGAGTTTTGATGACATTAAAAAGTCCATTTAATAACGTGAATTAGAAAGCTTCGATTTTGCCCAAGTATTAAATGTATAAAGAAAATATTATATGGTAGAGGGATAAAAAATATTTTGCAGTAAATACAACAGACCACAAAATAATGATATGGTTCGTATTTAATAAAGTATGGTGGGGAGTCAAACATTTTCATTATTACATACAGGTAGCTAAAATATGTCAAAATGTCAGGGCCATAAGAGACTTTTATGTTACTTTACCTGAACCCCGCATTGAGGGTGGACTCTATACATCTGCACATATACTCACAGCTGTGGTAAATAGTTATCTAGCAAATTTCCAGATAATTTTTTAATGAATATCACTACTTCCTAAGGTCATCTCAGTTATTTGTTGCACAGATTTAATTATCAGACATTAGAAATGGTACATATTTGAAAGAGAGCATAATCTTTTCTTCAAAGCTCTGGCATTATAGCAAAGGTCTTCATTCTTTTTAGTGTTAGCACATAATTTTTTTATGAATATCATAGTTCAATATATGTTAAGGAGAATATTTTGTAGACAGAAAATGAAGTCAACTATGAAATAAGCTTAAGAACTGAAATAAAAATGACATGGATAGGTAAGAAAATGATTTTAAAAAAGTTATCAGTGAAGAAAAGTAGTCATATGACAAGTATGAAAGCAGAAAATATGAAGAGGATTAAGAGGATTACTAAATGAAGCTGAGTTTATAAAAAGCTAAAGTGACAACAAGCCAAAAATTGGTAAAGAATGCTACAATTCATGTAAGGATCAGTAGTGTTCTACTATATTCAGCTTGTGTCTACCCATAGCTACTAGCTCAATTTTAACTGTAAATAGTTAATTCACGTATGATTATTTTGTTATAAACTCAAACTTTCTATGATTTTCATCAAATGCAGGAATAATGATATCTATTTCAATTATCTTTATATACTGCTAAAAATCTTGGGTCATGATTCAACCTTCACTTAATTATAGTTTAGGTGATAAGATTATATCAACATTTAGTTGGGTTTTAATCTTAGAGTTCTATCTCTATATATAATAGCGTAGTATGGCAGGTCATTCAAGTTAAGTTAATTTCTGCTTTGATAGTCAAGTAGGTAATTATCAGCACTTGTAAAACATTCTAGATATTTTAGCCTCCACTTATGAGTGAGAATATGAGGTATTAGTCTTTCTTTGCCTGGCTTATCTTAACATAATGTCCTTCAATTCCATCCATGTTGCTGGGAATGACATGATTTTATTTGTTATGGTCAAATAGTATTACACACACCATACATATGTGTGTGTATATATGTGTGTGTGTATATGTATACACACACCCATATACACACACACTATACACTGTACATATATATTCACATATACACATATATTTTCTTTATCCATTTTTCTATTATATACACATACACAAACAACGTTTTCTTTATCAGTTTATCTGTTGATGGACACTTGGGTTGATTGCATTATCTTTGCTATTGTGAATAGTGCTGCAATAAACATATGAGCACAGGTATTATTTTTATATATTTATTTTGGATAGATACCCAGTAGTGAGATTGCTGGGGATCAAATGGTAGTTCTAGTTTTAGTTTTTTGGAAAATCTTCATACTTTTTTTCAAAATGGTTACACATTGCCCCCAACAGTGTGTAAGATTTCTCTTTTCTCTGCATCCTAACCAGCATCTGTTTTTTTTAATATATATTTACAAATAGCTATTCTGATTGGGGAGAAATTATATTTTATTAGTTTTATTAAATTTGCATTTCCGCAGTGATTAGTGGTGTTGAGAAAACCTTCATATACACATATTGGCCATTTGTAAGTATTCTTTTCAGAAATGTCTACTCATGCTATTTGCCCATTTATTAATGGAATTATTTGTCTTTTTTGTTGTTTAGTTGTTTGAGATCCTTGTAAATTCAGCATGTTAGTCCTCTGTCAGATAAGCAATTTGCAAATAGTTTCTCTCATTCAAGAGGTAGTCATTTCACTCTGTTGATTGTTTCTTCTGCTGTGCAGACTTTTTTAGCTTAATATGGTCCCATTTATCTATTGCCTGTGGTTTTGAGGTCGTAGACAAAAAATCTTCACCTAGACAAATGTCGTGAAGAATTTGTGCTACTTTTTTTTCTTGTAGTTTTACAGGTTGGGTATTACCTTTAAGTCTTTATTACATATTGAATTGATTTGTTGTATATAGTGAGAGATAAGCATCCAGTTTTATTTTTCTGCATATGGTTATCCAATTTTCCCAAAACCATTTATTGAATAGGGTGTCCACCAATGTATGTTATTGATGACTTTGTTGAAGTTCAGTTTTCTGTAAACATGTGGATTTATTTCTGTGTTTTCTATTCTGTTCTTTTGGTCTATGTGTCTATTTTTATGCCAGTACCATGCTTTTTACATTACTGTAGCCCTGTAATACGTTTTAAGTCAGGTTGTGTGATGACTCCTTTTGTTCTTTCTGCTCAAGTTTGCTTTGGCTATTCAGACTCTTTTTTGGTCCCATATGAATTTTAGAATGGCTTTTTCTATTTCTATAAAAATGACATTTTTATTTTGATAGGGATTGCTTTAAATTTATTAATTTTAGCGGGGCATTGTGTCATCTTAAGATTATCATGTTCTCCAATTCATGAGCATGGAATGTCTTTCTATTTGTGCCTTCTTCAATTTCTTTTGCCAGTGTTTTGTAGTTTTCCTCATAGAGAGCTTTCACCTCTTTGGATACATTTATTCCTAGGTATTTTACTTTTGTAGTGATTGTAAATGGAATTGTCTTCTTGATTTCTTTTTTGGCTACTTTATTACTGGTGTATTGAAATGTTACTGATTTTTGTGTTTTGGATTTGTGTCTTAAAATTTTACCAAATTTGTTTTTCTGTTCTAAGAGTTTTTTGGTGGAGTATTTTTTTTTTTTTTTTAAGATAGAAGACATAGTGTTTGCAAAGAAAGAAAATTTGGCTTCCTCTTTTCCAAATCAGATGGCTTTTATTTCTTTCTCTTGCCTGATTGCTCTGGTTAGGACTTCCCCTACTATGTTAAATAGGAGTGGTGATAATGGACATCCTTGTCTTCTTCCTGTTCTTAGAAAAAAGGCTTTCAGATTTTTCTCCATTCAGAATGATTTTAGCTATGGGTTTGTCATGTATGGATTTATTATTTTGAGGTATGTTCCTTCTATGACTACTTTCTTGAGAGTTTTTATCATGAATGATTGTTAAATTTGTTAAATTATTTTTCTGTATATATTGATTAACATATGCTTTTTGTCCTTCATTATATTGATGCAGTGTATCATGTCTATTGATAATTTGCATATATTGTACCATCCTTGAATCATTAGGCTAAATCCCTCTTGATAGCGGTATATTATTTTTTATGTGCTATTGGATTCAGTGTTGTTGAATATTTTTGTGGCTATGTTTATCTGATATTTTATCTGATAAAACTCTGTGGCAATCTTTTGTATTTCTGTATATCAGTTGTAATGTCTCCTTTTTCACTTTTTTTCTTCTTTAATCCAGTTAGCCATTTATGAATTATATTTATCTTTTCAAAGAAACAACTTTATATTTGATAGATCCTTTGTGGGTTTTTAAGCCTCTATTTCATTTAGTTCTGTCCTGATCTTTATTATTTCTCTTTTTTTCTGCTAATTTGGGGTTTCGTCTGTTCTTGCTTTTCTAGTTCCTTGACGTAGATCATTACATTATTTATATTAATTGTTTTTAGTTTTTGATGTAAGCATTTATTGCTATGAACTTCCCCCTTAGCAGTATTTTTTCTGTGTCCCACAGATTTTGGTATGTTGTATTTTCATTTTCATTTGTTTCAAGAAACTTTTTTATTTGCATCTTAAATTTATTTATTAACTCAATGGGCTTTCAGGAGCATGTTGTTTAATTTCTGTGTATTTGTATTGTTTCCAAAATTCCTCTTGGTATTGATTTCTAATTTTATCCCATTGTAATCTGGAAAGATATGTGATGAGATTTTGATTTCTTAAAATTTCTTGAGACTTGTTTTATGACCCTAAAGTATGCTCAATCTTGGAGAATGTTTCATGTGCCAACGAGAAAAAAAAATGTATTCTGCAGCTGGATAAAATGTTCTGTAAATGTCTGTCATGTCCATTTGGTTTAAAGTCCAGTATAAGTACAATGCTTCTTTGCAGATTTCCTGCCTTAGTGATCAGTCTGATGCTGAGAGTGGGTGTTGTGAGAGTCCCCCATTATAACCATATTGTGATATGTAATCTAAATAATAATTAGTTTTTCTTTAGATATAATAATATTGGCTTTATGAATCTGGGCACTCCAGAGTTGGAAACCTATCTATTTAGAATTGTTATATCCTCTTGCTGATTTCTTTATCATTATATAATGACTATCTTTATCTTCTTTTTTCCATTAAAGTCTGTTTTTATCTGATACAGGTATTGTTACTCCTGCTCACTTTTGGTTTCCATTTGCATAGAATATCATTTTCCATCCCTTTACTTTCGATCTAGTTATATCTTTTCAGAAGAAGTGTATTTATTGTAGGTAGCATATTGTTGGATCATATTTTTAAATCCATTCAGTGAGTTTATATTTTAAGCCACTTACATTCAAGGTCATTATTGATATTTAAGGTTTTGTTCTCTTCATGTTGTTTTCTGGCTGGTGTGCATATTCTTTCCTTCTTTCTTTTTCTTATTGACTCTCCTTGTGGTTTGCTGATTTTCTGTGGTGGTACCATTTGAGTCTTTTCTTCATTTGTGTGTTTGAAATACCAGTGAGTTTTATTTTGTGTGTGTGTTTTCTTGGTAAATGTCATCCTTTTGCTTCTAGGTTTAGAGCTCCCTTAAGCATTTCTTGTAAAACCAGAATTCCCCTATCATTTGCTTGTCTGAGAAAGACTAAATTTTGCCCTCCTTTATGAAGGATAATTTTGCTGAAGATGGTGTTCTTGACTGGATTTTTTTTCTATCTGCATTTTGAATATATCATCCCATTTTATCCTGGCCTGTAAGGTTTCTGCTAAGAAGTCTGCTGTTCGGGGCTCTTATGGTGACAAGATGTTTTTCTCTTGCTGCTTTTAGAATTTTCTCCTTATCAGTGACTTTAGATATTTTCACTATAATATTTCCTGAAGAAGGCCTTTTGGCATTGCATCTGTTTGAGTATTGTCGGGCCCCGTATCTGAATGTCTAAATCTCTTGCTAGGCTTGGAAAAATTTTATCTATTATTTAATTAAATAAATTTTGAAAACTTTTCATTGAATAGATTTTGAACCTATATCATTAAATGGAGTTTGAAAATTCTTTGCCTACAGACCTATTTTGTATTTTATTCATGGAGTTCTTCAACTCCAGAATTTCTGTTTGGTTCTTTTTTTTTATGATATCTATCTCTTTGCTAAATTTCTCATTTATATCCTTATGTGATTTTCTGATTTTTGTATTTTTTAGTACTCTGGGATTTCATGAATTTCTTTGAGATTAGGATCTGTTGCTAGAGAATTATTTTGTTCATTTGGAGGTGTCATATTTCTTTGCTTTATTTATGCCTCCTGTGTCTTCATGTTGATATCTGCACATCTGGTGTAATAGTCACTTCTTTTAATTTTTGAATTTACTTTCATAGAGGAAGACTTTTTTCATGAGGATATATTAATAATATTCGTTGAGTGGGGCCCTTTGGCTTTCCTTCTGAGTGTGTTCAGTAGTGCAGCCTATGTATGATTTATTCAACTGTCAACAGCATAAGTAGTATATGCAATTTCCTTGGTGGTTTAGGGTTTGGTTATTAGCAGAGGCTATGATGAAGTTTTGCTTGGAAAATGGATCCCTGGTTGGCCAGTTTTGGGGCACCAGTGGTGGCACCAATGGACTTAGTGTGCCTGTTCTTGGGCCCCAGGGTGGTTTATGCTGGCACTGGTGTTAACAGGATTCAGTGGGCAAATTCTTGGGACTCTGGATTGCCTCATGGGATGCTGGTAATGGCAGTGTTGGGACAGGCAGAGCGGGTTCTTGGGTCCCTAGGCAGCTGGTGTAATGTGGGCAATGGGAGTTGTAGTGGTGAGATGAGCCTTTGGATCCTGAGTCATGTATGCTACTGTCTGCAGTAGCATTGCAGGTTGTTGTCACTCACATCCCCATAAACACAGTTTTCAGACTTGTCTGCTCTTGATGGCAGTAGCACTATGGCACTGCACAGATAGAGGAGGGACCCCACTGTTCACACACAAGCCAAGCATAAGGATCACACCACCAGTGAAGGCATAGTCACCACTTACAGCCCCAGACAGCCCTCTAGCTCATCCACCTCAGCCTTTGTCAGCAGCAGCAGAAACTATGCCTGCAGTGGTGTGCAAATGTGCAGAAGAAGTCCCGTTCTCTTCACGTGAGTCTGAGCCCAGAGGCTGCTATGCCCATGCGAGGGGATCTCACTCTCTGCTTGTGAGGCTTAGCACAGAGTTTGTGTTGCTGCTGAGCATGGGACCACTTCTCACAGACCCCGACAGGGAGCACTCAGGCTCTGGGAAGCATATGTTTTAGTTTTCATTGTCTCAGTTTCCAGATTTTTTAATACATTGTGTTGTCCTTTCCCCAGAGAGTAGTACTCTCTGTGGGCTAGAGTACTGGGGACCCCACAGCACCTTTTGTCCAGCCAGTGCTGTGCCACTGTAGCCCTCTATGTAGACACTAGGGGTTGTTAGTGAGGAATTTTGGGATGTGGAGATATGGAAGCTGTGGTTTCCAGGTCAGGATGCAGCCCCATTATGGCTATACTCTCACAATGGTGCTTTATTTCAGATGCTTAGGTCTTGGGAGTGTAAATGCCCTAGCACGTGTTGCCTGTCTGGTACAATACTCTCTTGGGAATTTCAAATCACTACCCATGCTAGTGTCAGGGACTGTGTGGGCAGTGGAGCTCTCTCATGGTTCTGATTACAGCAGCCCAGAGCAGGGAAGTGGAACACTGAAGTTCTCTCGCTTACCCTTTCCCCGTAATAGTGAATCCCTCAAGGCTCTCAGACTATCGTGGGTGAGTTGACCATTTATTTCCTTCTCTTTCTATGCCTCAGTGTATCCCCATAACTTCTCTGTTTCACTCTAGTGTTCTCTCCTAGTGTTCTCTCCTAGTTTGAGGAATAATTATCTATTTGTAATTTGGGTTTTTCTTTCTGGAGAGGATGACTGTTCAATTTCTCTAGGCAGCCATCTGGAGCCAGGATCTAGTTTTCTATTTATGTATATCATATTATTTAAAATAAAATCACAATCACATTTTTAGTATTATACTACAACACAACTGCAGCTGTGATACATATTCATATTTTATAAAAGTGTTATATTATTGTACATTTATTTCACGTTTGTAATTTAATAAAATTTATTTTGTAATAATTTCGCATTTTTTCAGATATCATAGATATAACGTAGAGGTTCTTGCATACTCTTCAACCAGCTTCCCCTAATGTTAATATTTAATGGTTCATTTGTCAAATCTTAGAAATTAACATTAGTCTAACATGATTAATTAAACTAGAGACTGCAAATTTCACTACCGTTTCCATTAATGCTATTTTTCTGTCCTGGAATGTATTCTAGGATACCACATTGTGTTAGATACATTAGGATGTCAAGTTCCTTTTAGTTTTTATGAAGTTCTAGTCAAATTTTACGGTCTGAGTTTATGAACTAAACCTTCTCTAGGCCACGTTAAATTTTGTATTTGTTCCATAGTGCTTGAAAGTCCTATGAACTTTACTCATGTTTGAAGCTCCTGATAAGTGATAAATATGATTTTTCTATGCCATTGATATAAACATATTTAATATATATTTTTTAGATAATATGCCTGTAGTTTTCCCATTGAGTTTTTTATTTTTAAAACTGCTTTATGTAAGAATACACTGAGGTAATTGAAGTCAAAGATTGTTCAATTTATATGAGATTATTTTCCCTTTTCTCTGGACATTTAAGAGTTCTCTGGGGAGAAATAATTTAATTCGGTGATATTAAATAGCTTTAATGACATAGGAAAAAACAGTCTTCCCTGTTCACAATTTGTAAACCCCTCACCTACCTCCACATTCCCCTATCATCTCAGACAAGCTTTTCTCATATTCTTGTTTGCTGTTTTTGGAATCAGTGTTGATACATTCGTTGAAATACAAACACATTCAGTCATTCCAATTATCCTTGATTCCTTTTTCCAACATTGGTCTTTGCTTCATATCTGTAGTTAGTTATTTGTGATTCTAGTTCAAAGTCTTATATCCATCTAAACATTTATCTCCTATATTACTTATCGTGCCTCAGTTCAGGCCCTCCTTGCAACTTACCTCAATGAGCTTAACAAACTTCTGCTCTGATTTTCTGACAGTAAATCCTTTAGCTCCTAATTTTATAATTTTTAGAGTGAAGAAGATGAAGCAATGTGAAAAGAGTGTGAAATAGGGTTGATATTTCATTTGAGACAATCAATAAAGACTTCTCTGATGAGATAATATTTTAAAAAATCTGAAAGAACAGAAATAAAATCTCTATATTCATATGGAAAAATGAATTCTAGGTATAAAGTTTAGCATTCTACAACAACCTCAGAGACTTACTGGGCATTTAAAGAAATCACAAATGTCTGTGTGACTAAAAACAAATGAACATGAAGAGTATTAGAAAATTGAACTAAGAGGGTGGGGAGTAGTGCATGGAAGCAACAAGTTACCAAAATACTGAAGGAGAAGGTAAGAGTTTGAAGTTTTGCTTTGAGTGATATTGGAAGCCATAATAAAGATTTGGGTATAAAATGACATGTTATATATCAGTACAATCACTATGGCTCTTATTTATACTGCAGGCAGATGTGAGTGGAAGTAGGGAGATTAAACTGAATAAATTATGGGAAATTTTCTGATTTTATTTCTCTAAATATACAATGTTTTTGCTTGGAAAATAACATTTGTGTGAGATCTTGATAATCATCTTACTAACCTTTACATGAGTGAAGTTTTCAGGGGAGAATGGCTATAGATATGTCTGAGAATAGTTAAAATAATACTTAGAATATGGTATGTCAAAGGATAAGATGTGAATAAATCCCCAATGGAGTTAAGTCCAAAGACTGAGCCATTTCAGGTGAAAGTGTCCAGGTGATGAAAGATAAGTTAGAAATATTGCTGTTGCTGTGGTGACTGTTGTAAGCACAATGGTGGGCTGATGGGATTAGCATTGTTGGCACTTAATGCAAATTGTGATTTTGAACTTGCAAGTAGTAGTGAGGCAAAATGGATTACAGAATGGTCTTACCAGAAACATAGAGTTTGAAAAATTCCTCTGGGAGTTTGCTAAAGGCCATGTAGAGGTCAGTGGTAAGTTTGCCTTGCTAGAACATGAAGGCTTTTGTGGGTCATTCCAATAGAACTCCAAGAGCAATGACAAGACTGGTTAAATAGCTGGCTTAGGGTTCTCTGAGCCTCCCTAACCTGGTACTTCCTATTCAGTTTACTTTCTAGGCTCTATTTTGTATTTTTCTTTTTCTAGTCCCAGCAGTTCCTTAAAGTTCTGTTTTATTGTCATATTCTCCACACTATCTTTACGATACTATATTTGTTTCCTTGGCCTCATCTGTCACCTCTATGTTTAGAACACTCGCCCTGTGTCTTTAAATTTTTTTATTAATTTGATCTGATGTCTTAATGGTGATGACACACAATGCTGCAAAGTAAGTGTGTTTAAAAATAAACTCCTTCCTGAAAACTCATAAATAAAAGACAGAAAATAGCTGATGGAAATGAACAAAACATTTAAACATACATACAATGATAAAGGTCAATAAATATGTAAAAAAATTCAAAACTTTATTTTTCCAAAAAATTCAAATTAACACCACATTTGGAAAAATTCTACAAGTGTATCAGAATAACAAAAATGGAAAAAATAGAAAATTCCAAATATAAGTAAGAAAACAAAGCAATTGGTACTCTCATGAAGTGCTGGGAGCAGTTTGAATGGCACAACTGTACTTGGGAACTGTTTATTAATATTCTCAGAAGATGACTATATGCTGTCTTCTAACCTAGAAATTTTACTCTTTGGTATATATCCAATGGAAATATGGCATATATTCCCAGAAAGTATTGAAATGCATATTTAAACATTTGAAATAGCTCTGAAATGGAAAATTATCAAATGTCCATGAAGATAAAAATGAATAATTAAATTAGGAAATATTTTTATGATAGATTACTGTATAGCAACTATAACTATATACAACAACTTGGGAGACTTTCACAAGAAAACTTGAATTAAAAAAATCAGATATAAAAAGATGCACTTGTCATATGGTTTCAATGCTATACAGCACAAAACAGCTAAAATTAGTATATAATTTTAAAGTCAAGATAGTAGTTACTGTCTGGGAGTCATTATTAGAAAGGGGCATGATTAGTTTTTGGGGTGCTTGTAATATTCTGTTCCTTGACAAAATGTAGCTGGAATAAGATCTTGGTTTTCTAATAATGGTGTATATTTACCAGTGTTCCACAATGTTTTTGTGTGTGTTATCAGCTACATTTTAGATTAGGCTTAAAAACAAGCTTCAAGGACAGGATTACAAAAAACAACTCTGAACACAGAAGAACATCATTAAAAGAGAAGTACAAAAGACTAGAATCTTTTGAGTAAAATAAAAACTGTGTAACAAATGAATTCTTCACAAAAAAATTTATACACCAAAACAGATTAGGTCCATCAAACCTGGCAACTGCTGAAAATGAACAAAAGCCTTAATTTTTAAATACTCAAATAAGCTAGGGTTTCAGCAGCCTCAAAAGTAAAGGAAATCTCAAAGCAAAAAATATGTATGGTTTATCTTTGAAAGTAATCTATTTATATGCTGAATAAATTATAGTTAAACCTGTTTGCCTAGAAAACCAATGAAAGCTCTGCAGATGTAGTTTCCTTTTGGCATGAAGTGCCTTTGAAGTTAACCATAGTTTAACATGCTGAGTGTGAAATAAACATCAGGGTAATGCAGGCTCATTACAGATACAAAATCTAAAAATAAGCTTACAAAAATGAGAGAAAAAGGCTTTTTCCTAAATATATGAGTATATATAATAAAACTCATTGGAAAACCTCAATATCTGTAGACTGCTTAGGCATGTTCAAAGGATGGCATACATAATGTGAGTATGAGAACTGTGGTTTTCTAAAATTTACATGGGCCTGGAGCTAAGCTTTTGTATAGCTTCTTGTTTTATTCTTCACTTGTTCCCTTGTCATTTTTAATCAGTGTCATGGATTTTCAGACTATCCATACACCAATAAATGCTCAAATGTGTGCTTAAATGTAGGTATCTCCAAATTAACATGGCCCACTGCTTTCTCAGCATAACTACCTGGGAATCTAACAGGCATCTCAATCTCATTGCATAAAAAACAAACACCTGTTCATCCTCCCCACCTTCATACTCATCTAAGAAAAATAATCTTAAATTTTTACTTCTTCAGGTTAAATGGCTTTGTGTCAACGCTGATATTTCTCTCATACCACATATTCAGTGTGACAGAGTGACAGAGCCTTTGACATTTTAACTCACTCCACTTGTCGGTGAGGATTGAACTCTTTGATGAGGGATAGCCAAAATTTCATCAGATCCAAATTATTATACTTTCACCTAAATTCCCATACTATCATTTATTATCTAATTTAGTATATTTTCTTCTATTAACTCTAAGTTTTAAATTGATTGGCATTCCTCTTCTAAGAGCCAAGCACCCTGCCAACGTCCCAAATGAGAATCTGCATTTAATAATGTAGTTCACAATTGGTACTGAAGGAACTTGCTAAGCATAATTTCATGGTTTAGTAACAAGGAGGTTCTAATATTTTAAAAACCCTTTGCATATTCGATAATTTTTTACGTTTATAGTTTTTAGGGGTACATAGTAGGTGTGTATATTTATGGGGTACATGAGATATTTTGATACAGGCATACAATATGTTATATCAGAATAAATGAGGTATCCATCACCTCAAGCATTTATTATTTGTATTAAAAACATTCCAATTATACTCTATTTTTCACTGTACGATAAATTATTATTAACTATAGTCACCCTGTTCTGCTAATAATACATCTTATTCATTCCATCTAACTATATTTTTGTACCCATTAACCATCCCCACTTCCCACCCCAATTTCCACTACTCTTCTCTGCTTCTGGTAATCATCATTCTACTCTCTGTCTCCATGAGTTCAGTGGTTTTAATTTGTAGCTTCCACAAATGAGTGGAGAAAGGGGAGCCTTCACACACGGTTGGTGGAAATGTAAATTAGTACAACCACTGTGGAGAAGAGCATGAAGTTTCCTCAAAAAACAAAAAAACAGAGCTACCATATGGTCCGGCAGTCTTACTGCTAGGTATGTACCCCGAAGAAAGGAAATAAGTATATTGAAGAGATATTTGCACTTTTATGGTTATTGTAACACTATTTAAAATAGCCAAGATTTAGAATCAACCTAAGTGTCCATCAACAGATGAATGGATATAGAAAATGTAATACAGAAACACAATGGAGTACTATGCAGACTATAAAAAAAGAACTATAAAAGGAATGAGATCCTGCCATTTGCAACAACATGGCTAAATGATGATTTTTTTAAACCTTTGGCTTATCTAATAAGATAAAAAAAATCCTCCAAGAACAATCCAAAACTGAATCATGAATACTGAAAAGCAAGCACACCCTGAAACTGGGTCATGTCCTAAGGGAATGCTGATCCTAGATAAAACAGAACTTTTTGAAGACAATTGTTTTGTTTTAGAGAAGTTTTATGTTCATCACAAAACTGTTACGGTATAGAGATTTCCTATATCCCTTCTATCCCCAGGCAAGCATAGCCACTCACATTATTAACATCCCACACAAGAGTGGCACATGCTACAATTTATGAAAGTATGTTGACACATCAAAATCACTCAAAGTCCATTGTTTCATTAGGGTTCTCTTTTGATGTTGTATAGTCTATGGGTTTGGATAAATTTATAATGACAGTTGCTCATCAGTATGGTAATACAGAGTATTTTCACTGTCGTAAAAGTCGTCCGTATCTTTTTGACTCTCCCCACGTTGGCCCTAACCTCAGGCAACCACTGATCTTCTTACTGTCTCCATAGTTTTGTCCTTTCCAAAATGTCCTATTTTTGAAATAATAAATTATATTGACTTTTTAGATTGGCTTTTATTCACTTATTAATATGCGTTTAAGTTTATATATTTGTAAGACTTGGTAGCTAGTTTCTTTTAGTGCTGAATAATATTTCATTGTCTGGCTGTACCACGGTTTATTTATTCATTTACCTAGGGAAGAATACTGTGATTGATTGATTTCAAGTATTTGCAGTTATGAACAAATCTCCTATAAACATCTGTGTAAAATTTTGCTATAATTACTGGAGAGAATACATATGTAAAGGTTAGAGCCCTTGAAAAGTGAGAGAAAGCTCAGCAACTTTCTGGAAGGAACACCAAAAATCCAACACCTATAAGCTAAAGAATAAAGTGATATTAAGTACCTCAATGGATGATAGAGAGAAAAATATATTCTGTAAAAATTCATAATCACAATCTAACCTTCATAAATACATCAGATTCAGATTAAAAGTAACCAATTTCAATCTATTTCTTGGGCATTTAACTTATGAGAAATTACCAAAGTATGTAAGAACACTGAAAGCATCAATAAATATCACTGCCTGTTCAACATCATAAATATCTAAAAATAAAAACTGGAATCAACCTCAATGTTTCTTAATTTGTTTGCAAATTTTTTGAATAAATGATAATAAAAATGAAATATGACACTGTTTTACTGAAAGAGGAATTAGATTGAATTTCGCCTTTCCAGAAAAAAAGGTAGTCTAGAAAGATTAAAAGAAAGATTCTGATGGGTCCTAAAGTTAAAGGGACTGTGTCTGCTTCTGGACAGTTTCATTACAGAGTAGCATAATTTCTGGAAATTAAAAATATCTAGTTGATGTGATGTGTCTATATTAAATGAGATAAAGGATATATATATGGATATGGATATATATATATGGATATATATATGGATATATATATATGGATATATATATATGGATATATATATATGGATATATATATATGGATATATATATATGGATATATATATGGATATATATATATGGATATATATATGATATATATATGGATATATATATGATATATATATGGATATATATATGATATATATATGGATATATATATGATATATATATGGATATATATATGGATATATATATGGATATATATGGATATATGGATATATATATGGATATATATGGATATATATGGATATATATATATGGATATATATATATGGATATATATATGGATATATATATATGGATATATATATGGATATATATATGGATATATATATATGGATATATATATATGGATATATATATATGGATATATATATATGGATATATATATATGGATATATATATATGGATATATATATATATATATATGGATATATATATGTTGCTGCAGGCCATGCTTGGCATATATCTATGGATATATCTATGGATATATGCCAAGCATGCCTGCAGGCAACATAAGATGGAGCAGAACAAGAGAATGAAGATAATGAATGTCTTCATGCTAGCTTATAAGTACACTGGCGACTGAGAATAACTAGATGTCCCCTATATCTAGGATGCTTAAACTGTGACATGCATTTAACTTAAGATATAAGCCCTTACTTTTTGGAGAGATTCTAACTATAATGAATGTGAAGCTTATAATCAGAAGAGTGTACTATTATACATGTACGTATATACTTGAATATTTCAATAAATTTTACTTTATATAAACCTATTATATATGTTTATATAGAAGTTATATACCTGTAGGCTATTTAATCCATACCTCAGATTGCAGATTGAAGTTTATACCATGCAGCTAAGCACACAGACGTATGTAGTTGCATATATGTTTATACAATGCAGCTACATATATGTGTGTGTATGTGGCTACATTGTATAAACACAATGGAGTACTATTCAGCCATAAAAAATAATGAACTGAAAGTATATATATATATATATGTATATATATATACATACACACACACAAACATATATGTAGCAGCATAGTATAAACTGTATAAATATATAACTATATGTAAAACAAAATAGCTAGAAATATATATAATGTCTTATTGGTATAAAAAAATCTAGTCTCAGATTAATACATATGGTATGATAACATTTAGTGGGAGTCTTGATTAGGATTTTCCTCAAAGCAAACCCAGAGGCAAAAAGTTGACTGCAGATAGATTATTTAGAAGGTTATCCTAGAAAACACCTGTCAGAGTCCCTCTGAAATAGTTTGAAGTGTGTCTCATAAGGTTCCACTGGAGGACAGAGGGAAAATTGTAGGTATTTATCCATAGACTTCTGTTCTTTATGTTGTAAGAATCCTCACCTCCCTACCCTGTGATTTCTAATGTCTTGGCTACACAAACTTTCATGATGCTAACACTGCCTCTAAGGCCCCAAAGAAGAAAGACTTAGATGATTCAAGTGAGAAGTTGTCAATGTGCTGTACAAAGTACTGCAATACCTGCCAAGGAATGCAGGTTGCCTATGGACTGTGGTGACTATGGGGACCCTGGGGCATCAAGGGCATCTGCTGTGGGGAAGAATGGAGAAATTAGAATACCTACATGAGTAATTGAGTTTGAAGCTATTTTAATTGGCATGGAAAATTGTGTGGAAGAATATATTTAAAATTTTTAACCTGTCAGCTGGAGAAGGGCTAGCAGGATTGCATTGTTTGATTTGTTGTCATGTCTATATATTATTTTTGATATTAAATATAATAGTTACCAAGCAACCCATTATAAGTGAATATTCTATTACACTGATAGTCCATTCATTAAACAAATTTAGTAGTTATAAGCTTTGATTTCTGGAATTCACTGAGTTAATTAGCGAAGCTCATTTTATAGGAAGAGATTTAACAAGGAAATTCAAAAAGGCATTCTTTGGCAGATGATTCTATTACAGAAATATAGTGAAGATAATGAGTAACCAAAATCTCATTTCCGTATTTGGGGTTTTTCTCATTTCTCAAACTCCATTCATGTGTTCAATTGTTTAAAAATATTAATTAAAATACTCTAATCTTTATGATTGAGACAAAAAATAAAAAAAAATTCAGAGGATGGTGATTAGGTAGTTTCCTTCTTCACTTAAAAGCTGAAATCTAAGTTGGGTTTTGCTAAGCCCACAACTTATATATGACAGAGAGGCAACAAAAATATGTTGAAAAATGATGCCTACATTGATTAATACTTGGTTGACTGAATGAATGAATGATTCAATCTGTTAATCAGTTTTATAGATGCAAAGATCTGGAAATATAAAAACAACTGTAATGTATTATAAAATCTAAAATTCATAAATCATCACTTTTTACCGTAATGAAAATCTACGTATTAGGAAAAGGTAAATCTGTTTAACCCCAAATCTCAGTGGCAAACCACAAAATTTTTTTCTTGCTCACATAAATTATCAGTTAAGATCAGGCATCTTTCTCTGGAACGTTCTTCCAATCAGTGACTTAAGAAAGTGGACTCTTTCAATGATGTTGCTTTAGTGTTTTGAAATCCCTTGTTTCCAGCCAGGTAGAAAAGGGAGAAAGACATCATAAAAGATAGCTCAGATTTATTCTTTTTTTGTCCAGGCTTGCAAGTGACTATCACTTCTGCATACATTTTATTAGCCAGAATCAACTTTGTCCCAATCCAAGTTCAAATGAAGCTGAAAATTGTTGAACATCTAGGTAGTCTTCATCATACCTACTACAGTTTCCCTACTACCTTCCCAATAGGAAATATATTAAGAGATTTAGTAAAGACAGAATTATACCTATATGTAATTAAATATGAATTAGAATATAGCATTATTCTTTAACATATTTTACGTGAATAATTTAGTTCACATTAATGTCAAAGTCTTAATATACTCAAATAGGTATGGGTGATTAACAGTAGATATGAAGAAGACATTTCTAACAAAGGGAAAAACCTAAATATGTATTTATAGTGAGGTCATAGAACCAAAGAGTGTTTTTGGTAGTCATCTGGGAAGATTTAGTTACATGTTTTTCTAAAGGAAAGAGAATACTACAGGCTGGATGAACTTTAGTAATCTCTACTGGCTATATAAGTCTGTGACATTTCCTTTGGCTCTCTAAATTATATTCAATTAGGATGACATTATATATGCTTTATAGTATATGGAAAAAAGTTGCCCCTGGCCTGGCCTTACTAAGTAAAATTCAAAAACACGATAATATATGCCTCAAAGTCTGCAGTATAAACCTGCCAGTGGGTGAAAAGTGGTTGGGGGAAAATCTAGACCTCACACTCCCTCGTTTTTAAAAATTAATAAAAATCTCATTGTACCATAGCTTTCCCGAAAATTTCAAAATGATTTCACAATGATTTTGGGAGTGTCTGTATAGTTAAGAAAAATGGTTTGCATCCATGGCCACTTACTGTACTGATGACTGTTTTATGTATAAAATCAACTCTAAGCAAACACAAAAAAGATAAGTTGAAAAAATTTGCCTAGATGATACTATGTTGCACTCAGAACCTCCTCTTCCATTTTAAGATTAATGTTGTTTTTTTAGGTCAAGGTCTTAGAGTCTGTTTCTTTATCCCATAGAAAAATTCATTCAAGCAATACTCAGTGGTTTCTTGCCAAACTTATCTCAGCCTCTCCAGGTCAATCTAAAAGATCTTTACATTCAAGTGGCAAACCTTTATGCATTATAATTGACATAATTGGTTCTTGTTATCTATTGTTACATAACAAATTATCACACATTTTAAGACGTAAAACAACATTTATTAACTCATAGTTTCCACGAATTAGGAGCCAGACATCAGTTAACTACAGCCTCTTCTCAGGGTCTTACCAGCTGAAATCAAGGTAACGACCCAGGCTGCTATCTCTTCTGAAGCTTGGGTCCTCTTCTACTTTCACATTGTTGGCAGAGCACAATTCCTTGCGGTAGTAAGTTTGAAGTCTCCGTTTTTCTTGCTAGCTGTTGGCTAGCAACCTCACAGAGCACCCTTATGCCCTTGCCATGCAGTCCCCTTCATAACTGCTTTCATAATATAGCAACTTAATTCTTCAAGACTGGCAGGAAAAGTTCTGTGTAGGCTGCTAGTCTGCTCTAACATAATTATAGGAATAACTATTTCAACATTGGTGTCTTACAACTTGAACAAATCAAGAAAGTGTCTATCCCATCAGAATACAGGTTTGGCCCAACTCAAAAGAGGCAATTATTGAACATGTATATACCAGTAGCAGAAATTCTGAGTGCTAAGAATTCCGTTCACTACATAATTCTTTCAATATTAGAAATAATTTTTAAGAGTGATTTTACAACTGATACTAACTGGAATTTTTTCTCCTGATTTAAATTACTTCTGAAAAATTATTTTAGTTTTAGTCAATAAATGTGACATGGATTAATAAATGACTTTCTAACAAAGATTTAAACTGTTTTTAAAAATGCATAAATACAGAAAAATAAGATTCACTTATATAAGTAATAAAAATGAAGAAGGAACAATTTTGCCACATAAAGATTATACTTTGAGATTTTTATTTGGATAATTTGGACAAATCTGTAAGACATAACCCTTACCCCCCTCAACAACAACTTTAAGAAGTTTTGTTTCAACATTGGAAAGGGCTTTTGAGAAAATCATTTCTCATTTCATTTTTTCCTCTTTATTAGCCTATCTTTTATATTTATCTTTTCACTTTTTTGGTTTAGTAGTCGCCTTAGAGTTTTCACTATATATTTCACAAGTAATCAAAGTACACTTTCAAATAACGGTACACCACTTCATGCCTAGTTTAAGTATCCTACAATAAGAAACTATTCTGAATCCCTTTCTTTTATCCCTTATATCATTTTTGTCATTCATAAGCATGCACATGTAATCACCTACATTATTTTTATTATCATTTGGAACAGAATGTTGTCAGTTAGATTAAGAAAGAATAAGACAATAAAAGCTTTTATTTTATCTTTACTTATTTGTTTTCTAATGCTTTTGTTTTATTTATGTAGATCAGAGTTTCTGGCCTATATTATTTCTTCTCTCTGAAGAAGTTCTTTTACCATTTAGTAAAAGGCAAGTCTATTGGCAACAATTTTTTTCAATTTTTATTTGTCTTTATTTCCCCTTCACTTTTTAAGGAAATTTCAGAGTATAGAATTCTAGGTTGGTGTTTTTTTTCCTTTCAACATTTTAAATATTTAACTCAACTCTCTTCTTGTTGGCATAGTATTTGAAAAGTCAGATGTAATTCTTATCTTTGCTCTCTGGTAGGTAAGGTATTTTTCCCTCTGGCTTATTTCAAGATTTTTTTCCTTATCTTAGACTTTCTGAAGTTTGAATATTACATACCTTGGTGTAATTATTTTTGTCATTTATCTTGCTTGGTGTTCTCTGACATTTCTGGATCTGTGGTTTGGTGCCTGAACTAATTTTAAAAATTATGTTATTATTGCTTTAAATGTTGCTTCAGTTTTTTTTTTCTTCTGTCTTCTTTCTTTGGCTTTTCATTATGCATAAGTTATTCCTTTTGTGGTTGTTCCACAGTTCTTAGCCCGCTTTTTTTTTTTTCAGGCTTTTTCTGTTTGCTTTTCAGTTTAGAAGGTTTCTATTGTCATATTTACAGGCTTAGAGATTTTTTTTCCTCAGTCACATGCAGTTTACTACTGAGCTACAGAGGAATTTTCATTTCTTTCACAATGTTTTTGATCTCTAGCTTTTTTTATTTTAAGTTTTTCTGAGATTTCTATCTCGTAGCTTACATTATATTTTTGTTCTTACATGTTATGTATTTCTTCCTTTAAAACCCTTAGTGGCCAGGTGTGGTGGTTCGCTCCTGTAATCCCAACACTTTGGGAAGCTGAGGCAAGTGGATCACCTGAGGTCAGGAGTTCGAGACCAGTCTGGCCAAAATGGTGAAACCCCATCTCTACTAAAAATAGAAAAATTAGCCTGGCGGGGTGGTGGGCACATATAGTCCCAGCTACTCAGGAGGCTGAGGCAGAAAAATCGCTTGAACCCGGGAAGCGGAGGTTGCAGTGAACCAAGATCGTGCCACGGCACTCCAGCCTGGGTGACAGAGTGAGATTCCATCAAAAAACAAACAAACAACAACAAAAAAACAAAAAACAAAACAAAACAAAAAACTCTTAGCATGTTAGTCATGGTTGTTTTAAATTCCTGGTCTGATAATTTCAGCATCCCTATCATATCTGATATTGGTTTTGACGCTTGTTAAGTCTCTTAAAGATGTGGGTTTTGTTTGTTTGTTTTTGTTTTTGCCTTTTAGAATTTCTTGTCACTTTTTTTTAAAAATCTGAACATAATGTACTGGGTGAAAGGAAGTTAGGTAAATAGACCTTTTGCTGTGTGATGGTGAGCCTTGGAGGAAAGAGAAGCATTCTATGGCCCTATGATTCGGTCTCAGTCCTTTGGGTGATACCGTGTTCTTGGTCTGTGAACTTCACCAGTTCTTCCAGACTGTTTCCCCACTTAGGTAGGCCAGAAGGGCTGGAGGGGTTGGAAAGTTGTGATTTTCCTTTCGCCAGTTGGTTAGACTGATAAAACCTAACCAGGTTAGGCTCTACTAAAATAGCTTCTCCCGAAGGCAAACCTTTTAAGAACAGAATGCTGTAATGCATTTCAAAATCGTTATTTTACCTCTTCTGCCACAAGCACACAGGATTTTTCTGATATTTTCTGTAAGGACCTGCAAGAGCTCCTTGAGATAAGACTCACTAAGGAGTGGGATCTTTAACATAACAGGGGTCTGCCTTGAGTATCTAACTCTCAGACTCATCCTCACTGAGCCTCTAGCAACGTATCAATTACAGTCAAGCTTTTCCTGCCCTGGTACTGGCTTCCATGGAGGTTTCTGCTCATAGGTTTCTGCTGTGGTAAGTTGTGATTCTCTGTAATTGCTTGTCTTTCTCTCTGATTTTTGGGTCAGGGGTTTTCCTCATGTTCTTACTTCTCTGACAGATCTAAGAGGAGTTGCTGATTTTTCAGTTTGTTCAGCGTTTTACTTATTGTTAGGGTGAGTGGGAACTTCTAAAGCCCTTACATGCTAGACTGAAAACCATATGATTATCAGTTAAATTTTAATTTCAACTAACCAGAAAATTCTTCCCTCCAGATTTGAATCCACAGGCACGAGTAACAATTCTCTCAAATGATTAACACTTAATAATTACCACTAACTCAGGCCGGGCACGGTCGCTCACACCTGTAATCCCAGCACTTTGGGAGGCCAAGGAGAGCGGATCACCTGAGGTTGGGAGTTTGAGACCAGCCTGGCTAACATGATGAAACCCCGTCTCTACTGAAAATACAAAAATTAGCTGGATGTGGTGGCACACACCTGTAATCCCAGCTACTGAGAGAGCTGAGGCAGGGGAATCTCCTGAACCCAGGAGGTGGAGGTGGTAGTGAACCGAGATCTCACGACCGCACTCCAGCCTGGGCAACAGAGTGAGACTCTACCTCAAAAAATAAAAATAAAATTGCGTCTAACTCATATTCTCACGTTCTGGAATTAAAATGTTTTCAAAACGAAGCAAACATAGCCATTTTGAGTTGCATAGACTGAAAATATTTTTCTGTTATGTCCAGAACATTCTTATAACTATTCTTGAGGATAACATTCTAATGATTATATTTACAGTTTTGAGTCTTTATATAATAAACCAGTTTGTCTATATATCTTCGTATCAGATATAAAAATATACGCACATGCACACAAAGCTTAACTCTACATCACCTTTGACTGTACATATGCAAAAATCAACCCAAAATATTTTATTCTGAGCAGTAAACTGAAAATATTAAATAGGATTAAATTACAAAGGTTTAAAAATATATATGAATTAGTAATTATTTATTTTAACAACTGTAAAAATATTACCAAGGTTTTTAAAGGAGAAAAGTAAAAGAAAATGGACAGTAATAAAGGATTACAAACTCATAATCAACAAAACATCATTTAATGTGAGATGAAATTTTGAAGAATAATTTTATTTTTAACCTACTTATCTATTTTTATATATTAAGCTTTTATCCAACTCAATTTCATGACTATTTTCTAAAATCTTTAATCTTTAACTCAGAAAACTAGAACATGATTATTAAAGAAAATTTACCACAATTATTTTTCCCCTTTCACATGTAAGAATGAGTGAAGAGGTAGTCATCAGTCAGGAGCATTACTCTTGTTAAACTTCCAAATTGAAACATGAAAGTAACAAGAAAATAGGTGACCCCTTCCCCCAATAGTGGAAGGTCAGTGAAGAAAATAATTTATGAATACTATCATTCAACCTCTACATCTCTCCTAAACTCCAACACCAGAAAACCTATTTTCTCTATCCAATTTCAAAAGCTATGCTACAATAAACTTTGGCACCACTCGGAGGAGGAAGTTTTACTTCCTTGAAACTAACGTCCTGAAAATTGAAATGACCTATGTCAACATTACTCACTATTGGGACTGAGAATATGAGACCACCTGTGTCAGCAAGACTTTGTTCTGTACAATTCTTGCCAGGTAAATAAGATTTTTAAACAATAAATAACTGCTGCTTGTTTCTAAAATTTCTGGGAAACCAATTTACCTGGGCAAACAATTTGCTCATCTTGGCTAAAAACTTTCCTATTAGGGCAACAGTTTGTTCAACTGGGTTAACCACTAGCTCACCAGATTTCTTAACCCGACATAATGACAAATCATGTCAGAGATTTTTTTCAATCTAACCTACTTTCTACCATGAAAGACTCATCATAAACAATTTGTCCCCTAATTTATTTAAATATCTATTTTCTTTTTTAATTTATTTCCTTGTTTTTTTTCCCCAGGTGAAGGTAAATGTTTCTCTTTTAAATATATTTGGAATGGGAATGTGGGGGTTCCTTCTGTCCGTTACCAAATAATATTAACATAAAAAATCTCAGCACATATTTTAATAAAGACAAAATAAAGGTTGCATTTTTTAATATTTATTTTACCTGGAAATGTACCAGTTATGCAAAGACATATGAGAAAACACTGCATATGCATACACAATCTATCAATAATATTCCTCCCAGAGACAATTTGCTATATATTTATTTAAAAGTATATTTTCTGTTTAATACTTTTTTTGATGCAGAGATAGAAATACAGATATTTGATTATCTGTAAATTCTGGCCATTTTTATTTTATCTTATTATATAATAATGTTTTTGCACATTTTTATAATTGGCATTATTCATGTAATTTTGATAAGATTACTTATTTCCAAGATGATTTCACTTGTCTGATAATACCCATTGCATGTTTGTGTTATAAATTATATTCAGAATTCTGAATTGACCATTACTTTGTTCCATTGCTGTCAGGATTACTGTATCTAAATCATTGCTCCTATCTTTTTCTTTAAATTAGACTCCTAGAATATAACTTTCAAAGGGCAAGTACAGATGTTTGGCTTTTGATAACACAGCCAAATAGCCTTTCAACTATTTGTATCATTATATATTTTCAACAGTAATTCTAAATATGAGTGATAATTTAAAAAAGATTTCAATGTGGTGCATTAAGTATTTGGTTTTCATTTTAATTTTTAGTTAAATTTTATTAATGGTGATACACATCTTTTCATATTTGTTTTTCTCTTGTATTATAGCTTTACCTTTGTGAAATTTCTGTCTCTGTCCCTGTTCTTTGCAATTTTTTATGGAGACATTTGTGGCTTCTTCTCAAATCTAAAAACTATATATTAAAAAGATATCTGCATAAGTCAATCTTTGTTAACATTATGTAATATTGCATAATTTACAGCATATTTTTAGGTAATGTGTGTATTTGCTTATGATGACATTTTCACTTCAAAAAATAGAACAGTATTTCACTAATTCAAAAATATAATTATTTCAATTTAGGATATTATTTAAATAAGCAAAAAAAGCAATGTGCGTATGAATAAAGAATGGTGAGCCTGTATTTACCTCAAAAAATGGGTATGTGTGATGATTTTGGAGAATTAGCTAAAAAAGAAAATTATGTATAAAATTATGAGTTCTATAAGAAAGACAAGTTGTTACCCCTACTGCTAGCACTGCTAGCAAACAGAACTGTAAGTGACATTAGAGAGAATTACTAAAATCTCTTGAAATACCAAGGAAAGGTATTGTACATTATGATTATATTTGAGTCTAGAAATAGAGTGAAAAGATGCATTGGGAAGTATTGAGGGACTATCACCTATATTTATGAAAGGAATTATGTTGCTATATGAATAAGATGAATTGTTTCTCATGCCAAACCACATGGTATCACTTCAACAGCTGAGGGCAATACTGCCTCCTGATTTTGCTTAATTAATATAAAAAATGGTGAAACTATCATTTATCATCCAGTCATTGTCCCTCAGTTCCCTCAGTTTATTTCTTCTCCACAGACTCTGAGAAGAACTATTTAATAAAGAGAAGGCTGCCTTCTCTCATTGCCAAATGCTGCTAGAAATGACTAAATGTGGTATTGTGAATTTCTGAAATGAGGAATTAAATTATAAAATAGATATATATTTTATTTTTATGATGTGACAAAGCCAATAAAAAAGGTTTTTGTGATTTCAAATAATCTCCCTGGGAAATCTTGTCAATATATTCGTTTCTTTAATAGCCAAAACCATTGATCCAGAGCTTAAATTCCTGACTTTTCATATATAGGAAACTATATGAAGATTCTTTAAAATGGCTCCATAGGCAAGGGATTATTTTTCAACATTTAATAATTTTATTTAATTTTCACAAAATAAAGGTACATTATTATGTGTATTTTAGGCCAGGTACAGTGGCTCACGCCTGTAATCCCAGCACTTTGGGAGGCCAAGGCAGGCAGATCACTATAGGTCAGGAGTTCAAGACCAGCCTGGCCAACATGGTGAAACCTCCTCTCTACTAAAAATACAAAAAAATTAGCTGGGTGTGGTGGCAGGTGCCTGTAATCCCAGCTAGCTGGGAGGCTGAGGCAGGTGAATTGCTTGGACCTGGCAGGCGGAGGTTGCAGTGAGCGGAGATCGTGCCACTGCACTCCAGCCTGGGTGACAGAGTGAGACTCTGACTACAAAATAAGTAAATAAGTAAATGAATATTATGCATATTTTAAAACATATCCAAATGCTATATCAAAACATGATGGAATACTTACTGGAGGCAAATGTGACAGATACTCTACGATCTCACTTATATGTGGAATCTAAGAAAGTCAAACTTGAGGGAGCAGAGAGTTGAATGGTGGTTACCAGAGGCTGAAGGGATGAGTACGGGCTGGCAAAGGGAAGACGTTGGTCAAGGAGTACAAAATTTCAGTTAGACAGGAGAAATACAGTCTAGTTTTGTGCTGCAAAGCACAGTACTATAGTTAATATTTATTGTATATTTCAAAATAGCTGAAGGAGAGGATTTCAAATGTTCTCACCACAAAGAAATGATAAATATTTGTGTTAAGGGATATGTTAACTAGCCTGACTTGATCATTCCACAATACATACATGTATCAAAATATCACATTGTGCCCCATAAATACATACAATTACTATTTTTCAATCAAAAGCAAGTAATAAATAAATAAATACAAAGAGAGAGTAGACTCAGAATCCATTCAGTGCTTTCTTCAAAATGAAATATTCAACCTTCCAGTTTCTGAGTATAATATTCTTTTCAATTCTTTTTGTTGTTGGCTGGAGTATAGAAATGGCCTTTAGTGAAAAAAAATGCTCCTTTATCTGTTGCCCTATATTCAAACCAAATATCCACTTAACTGCCTTAAAAGCTCAAAATATGATGATTTAGCAATAATAGTAGCAGCATCCAGTTTTATTTCACAACATATATCAAGCAGAACATTACAAAGCTAAATGTGTTATTTTATGGAATAAAAGTTTTTTGCTCAATACAGCATTCACTTCAGGCAAATGATTTATATTTCTTTTGCTTTTTACTGAGAATTCATCATTTTATTTTTTGATAAATTCAATATTGCCATTAAAACCTTGAAGCAATTATCTTTATCACTAGCATGATTGTTATTATTATCATTCCAACTTTATGGGACACTAGTAATGGTCATTGTGCTGAGTCCTGACGTGGATCATCTCATTTAACACAACAAACCAAAGAAAGAGTACTGTCATTATGTCTATTTTACAGAGAAGAGTTTTGAAGCTCCAAGTTAATGAGGTCTCAGAGCAAATAAGCTAATCACCCTTGATTGGATGAGCTTGGGGAAATCTGCTTTAGTAATATATAATCTTGCAATACAGCTCCTTCATTGATTGTCATATTCAGAAAGCAGTCATTTTCTTTTATTTACTTATTTTAACTTGCCATTTTAAACTAATTGCAAATTTCTTTTTATTTATTTATTTATTTTTTTTTTTGAGACAGAATCTTGCTCTCTCGCCCAGGCTGGAGTGCAGTGGCGCGATCTCGGCTCACTGCTACCTCCGCCTCCTGGGTTCACGCCATTCTCCTGCCTCAGTCTCCCGAGTACCTGGGACTACAGGCGCCCGCCACCACTCTCGGCTAGTTTTTTGTATTTTTAGTAGAGACCGGGTTTCACCGTGTTAGCCAGGATGGTCTCGATCTCCTGACCTTGTGATCCGCCCGCCTCGGCCTCCCAAAGTGCTGGGATTACATGCGTGAGCCACCGCGCTCGTCCACTAATTGCAAATTTCTAACACTTAATACATAGTTCCATAATAAATATAAATAGTATTTATTTATTTTAGGTTTCCAAAGCAAATTAATTTTTCTCTTATATATCTATTGATTTTATGCTAAGTGCATTTATGCAGGATTCATTTTTTTTTACAAAATATGCACAATATGACTCATAACTGTTACTTTCAGGCAGCACGATAGCACTTTACAAATGCTGGGGTCTATGTATGTTTTATTGCAAAATTTTCTCAGATCTAGTAAAGGATTTCAAAGATGATTTAGCAATGTCCCTGCACACCAAACCTCCTGACAGATTTGTTAATGTAATCATTTCAGTGGGACAGAGTGGGAGAGTTCAGAGGACAGCTGTAAATAATTAGTTTTGTCCATCACCTCTCAATTTGTTCTGCACAAGTTATTTCTCTTTGCAATTGTATAAAATAGAAAGTCATTCTTGTAGCTTTGCTGATACCTTTGGGCCACTTCTCTGAAAACAAAAATTAAAAAGTTAAACTACTTTAAGGCTAACCACTTACCTAAGACTCACTGAGGTACTAACTACTAGACTCAAATACTTAACTACCTTAACTGTTTGAGAAAGGAAACTGTATATGAGAAACTATAATTTAAAAAATAGTATTCATAGAACCTGTGACAGATGATGAAAGCATATGATCTTCCACTGTAGATGTTCAAAGCAGAGTGATTTTTCAATTTAAAATGGGTTTTCCAATTTTGAGCCAGTAATTTTAAAATTGCATTGTGTGTAAAAATACACTGAAAATATCTTGGTAAAAACACATGTAACAGGTGGTTTTGTGGGATTTTGTCTAAGGCTCCAAATGCTGGCTTAATATATTGTAAACATTCAAGATAATTAGCCCAGAACATGCAGTGGCTAGAATGAGATGAGGAAACAGGTTGGCAGGGACCAATTTGTTCTACATAGCTATGCTCTGTGAGAAAAGAATTGCCAAGAACTGTGGAGGGGACTGTGTTGGAGAGCATAGTCTCCACACAGAAAAGGCAAAACTATTTTTTTATCCTTAGAATGTGTGAGGGAGCGCCACTGGGACTACTCACACGATTACCCCCTCAAAATGAACAGAATGAGTTGTACCCATCTGAAATCTAACAGCATGTCTAGATATGAGCTAATGTGGTAGAGCAGAGAGAGACATTGTGGCATTTTAAAGCAGGTATACTTGCACTGATTGTGGGGCAAAGACATGTAATTCAGACAATTAGATAAGAACCTCAAGGAGGCCAGGCGCGGTGGCTCACACCTGTAATCCCAGCACTTTGGGAGGCTGAGGCGGGCAGATCTCTTGAGGTCAGGAGTTCAAGACCAGCCTGGCTAACATCACGAAACCCTGTCTCTACTAAAAAATACAAAAAGCTGGGTGTGGTGGCACGTGCCTTTAATCCCAGCTACTCGGGAAGGCTGAGGCAGGAGAGTGACTCTAACCCAGGAGGCGGAGGTTGCAGTGAGCTGAGATCGTGCCACTGCATTCTAGCCTGGGTGACAGAGCCAGACTCCTTCTTGAAAAACAAACAAACAAAACAAAACAAAACTCAAAGGATGGGTCATCTCAAAAGAGATAAGATCCCAAAAGAAATGAAGATAATTGGAAACACAGGGGCTGAGGGTGACAGGTCAGGCAGCCATATGGCAGAAATGCGTTGCTCACATCAAGGGAATTCCCATCACAGATACCAACAGAGAACCTCTGAGCACCCTGCAAAAGAAGCCATGAAAAAGCCTGCAGTTATCCATGGGGAGTGGAGGAAACACTGCATTAGATGACAATGCTTCAGACTGGCAGTATGGACCTCAACTTGTCTTTTGGGTGCTTGAAGTTTATATAATTGGGGAAACCCATTTTAATAAAAATATTAAATAATTATTGTGATTATTATTTTTGAGACAGAATCTCACTCTGTTGCCCAGGCTGGAGTGCAGTGGTGCGATCTTGGCTCACTGCAAGCTCCACTTCCCGGGTTCATGCCTTCTCCTGCCTCAGCCTCCTGAGTAGCTGGGACTACAGGCACGCTCGGCTAATTTTTTGTATTTTTTAGTAGAGACGGGGTTTCACCGTGTTAGCCGAGATGGTCTCGATCTCCTGATCTCGTGATTCGCCTGCCTTGGCCTCCCAAAGTGCTGGGATAGGCGTGAGCCACCCTGCTTGGCCCATAATTCTTAATATAAAGTTAGGTATAAGATGAGTATCTGTTTAGAATGAATTAAAATGTAAAATAAAATATAGTTCTGCACACTTTCTCTTTAACCACCTGTTAAATATGTTTTTAAGAAGATTCCCAAAGAATCCCTATATGTATTACTATTTTAAATTGCTGACTCAGAATAACAAAATGCAACTTTAACTGAAAAGTTACTATACTTTAGAATACAGGATGTGGAAGTCCACATCCTTTCATTGTTTTTCTTTTTCCATCTTCCTGAGCCTAAGAAAAATAGGCCAAAAATAAATATTAGTGATTGGTATAAAGTTTCTCTACTAAAGTTCTTTTTTCTTGAATATTTCCAGCTGGCAGTATTAGAGTATAGAAGTTCTTAAGAGTATATAGTTCTTAAGGGCCTAGACTTAACTGTTGATATATTTGATCAGTGACTCAAAATGCCCAAGCACAGCACTACCTCTGAAAAGTGATGCCTTATTTAAATTTCTAATTTGATAAGTGACACAATATATTGTGATATTCTATTATTTGCTTTAAATGTGTTGCTCAGAAAATGCAAAGGAAACATCTATTAAATAAAAAATTAAAATCATTTTGCCTAAGTTGAAAGAAACTTATAAAAGAAGAAATGAGTTTAAATTAAGATGTAACACAAGTAAATTTCATTTTGAAATTAAAATAATTTTTTCATTTTGTAACTTTTATTTTTTAAAGTTTTATGGGTACATAGTAGGTATATGTATTTATGAGGTACATATTTTGATATAGGCATATGATGTGTAATAATCATATCAGGATAAAGGAGGTATCCATCACCTCAAACATTTACCCTTTGTGTTACAAACAATCCAATTATATTCTTTTAGTTATTTTAAAATGTGCAATTAAATCATATTTACTATAGTCACCCTGTGCTGTTATCAGCTACTAGTTCTTATTCTTTCTTTTTAATTATTTTTTGGTATCCATATAACAGTCCCAGTTTGGTCCAACCCCTCTAATACATTTCCCAGACTTTGGTAACCTTCCTTCTACACTCTCTCTCTCTGAGTGCATTTGTTGCAGTTTTTAGCTCTCACAAATAAGCGAGAACATGCAATATTGGTCTTTCTGTGCCTGGCTTACTTCACTTAACATAATCATCTCCACTTCCATCCATGTGGTTGCAAATGACAGGATCTCATTATTTTTTAATGGTTAAATAGTACTTAATTGTGTATATGTTCCACATTTTCTTTATTCATCCGTTGATGGACAATTAGGTTGCTTCCAAATCTTGGCGATTGTGAATAGTGCTGAAAAAAAACATGGGAGTGCAGATATTTCTCTGATGTACTGATATTCTTTCTTTTGAATATACACCTACCAGTAAAATTGCTGGATCATATGGTGGCTCAATTCTTAGTTTTTTGAGGAACCTCCAAACTGTTCTCCATAGTGGTTGTATTAACTTTCATTCCCACCAACAGTGTGTGAGTTCCCCTCTCTTCACATCCTTGCCAGCATTTGTTATTGCCTGTGTTTTGGATAAAAGTCATTATAACTTGGGTGAGATCATATATTATTGTAGTTTTGATTGGGATGTCTTTGATAATCAGTGATGTTGAGTACCTTGTCATATACCTGTTTGGCATTTTTATGTATCTTCTTTTGAAAAATGTGTATTCAAATCTTCTGCTCATTTTAAAATTGGACTATTAGATTTTTTTCCTATAAAGCTGTTTGAGCTCCTTATATATTCTGGATATTAATCCTTCCGCAGATGATGATACATTTTGGATGGTGTCCTGCCCAAATCTCATGTTGATATGTAAACCTCAATGTCAGAGGTGGGGCCTGGTGGGAGGTGATTGGATCATGGGGACATGTCTCATAAATGGTTTAGTACCACCTCTTGGTACTGTCCTTACAACAGTGAGTTCTTGTGTGATTTGGTTGTTTAAAAGTGTGTGGCACCTCTCCTCCCTCTTTCCATCCTGCTCCCACTATGTGAGATGCCTGCACCCTGTTAGTCTTCCATCATGATTGTAAGATTTCTGAGGCCACCCCAGAAGCTGATCAGATGCCAGGATCATGCTTCCTGTACAACCTGCAGAAACATTAGCCAATTAAACCTCCTTCCGCAGTTTCAGTTTTATTATAGCAATGCGAGAACAACCTAACACAGATTGGTAGTTTGGAAATATATTCTTACATTCTGTGGGTTATCTCTTAAATTTGTTGATGGTTTCCTTTGCTGTGCAGAAACTTTTTAACTTGAGGTGATGCTATTTGTCTATTTTTGTTTTGGTTGCCTGGACTTGTGGGGTATTACTCAAGAAATATTTACCCACTTTAATGTCTTGGAGAGTTTCCCCAAAAGTTTTATTTTAGAAGTTTCATAGCTTGAGGTCTTAGGTTTAAATCTTTAACCCATTTTGATTTGAGTTTTTATATGGAGATAGAGGTCGAGTTTCATTCTTCTGTACATAATTATCCAGTTTTCCCAGAAACATTAATTGGAGAGACTATCCTGTCACCAATATATGTTCTTGGCACTGTTGCTGAAAATGAGGTCACTTTTAATGTAATTTGTTTCCTGTTTCTTTATTCTGTTTTATTGGTTTGTGTGCCTGTTTTTATGCCAGTACCATGCTGTTTTGGTTACTCTAGCTATGTAATATAATCTGAAGTCAGGTAAAGTGATGCTTTCTGTTTTGTTTGCTTTGCTTAGAATATCTTTTGCTATTCTGTGTCTTTTGTGGTTCCATATAGATTTTAGAATTTTTTTTTCTATTTCTATGAAAATATTGGTATTTTGAGAGATTCCATTGAATCTGCCGATAACTTTGAATAGTATGGACATTTTAGTGATATTGATTCTTCCAATCCAGGGACAAGGAATATTTTTCCATTTCTTGGTGTCCTTTTCAGTTTCTTTTATCAGTGTTTCATAGTTTTCATTATAGAGGCCTTTCACTTCTTTGGTTGAGTTAATTCCTAGGTATTTTATTTTATTTACAGCTATTGTAAATGGGATTGTTTTCTTGATTTCTTTATCAGATTGTTCACTGTTGGCATGTAGAAATGTTACTGATGTTTGTGTGTTAATTTTGTATCCTGAAACTTTACTAAATTTGGTTATCAGTTCTAAGAGTTTTTTGGTGGAGTCTTTAGGTTTTTGCAAATACAAGATTATATCATCTGCAAATAAAAATTATTTGATTTATTTCTTTCCAGTTTGGATGGCTTTCTTTCATCTGATTGCTCTAGCTAAGACTTCCAGTACTATGTTGAATAACTGGTGACAGTGGGCATCCCTGTTGTATTGTCAACCTTAGAGGAAAGACTTTCAGTATTTAGCTGTTTAGTATGATACTTACTATGTTAAGGTATGTTCCCTCTATACTCAGCTTTTGGAGGATATTTTTTATCATAAAGGCATGGTGAATTTTATGAAATGATTTTTCAGCATCAATTAAATTTATTACATGGATTTTGGCCTTTGTTCTGCTGATATGATGTATCACATTGATTGATTTGCATGTATTAAATTATCCTGGCATCCCAGGAATAAATCCCACTTGGCCATGACAAATGATCTTTTTATAATAATATGTTGTTGAATTTGGTTTGCTAGCATTTTGTTGAGGATTTTCACATTAATATTTATCAGGGATATTGGCCTTTGGTTTTCTTTTGTTGGTGTTTCTTTGTCTAGTTATGGTATCGACATAATGTTGGCTTTGAAAAATGAGTTTGGAAGTATTCCCTTCTCTATTTTTTAGAATAGTTTAAGTAAGATTTGTATTAAATGTTCTTTAAATGTGTGGTAGAATTCAGTAGTGAAGCCATCAGGATCTGAGATTTTTTTTTTTTTTACTACACCTTGATTATGATTTCAATATTGTTACTTGTTATTGGTTCTTTTAGGTTTTGGATTTCTTCATGGTTCAAACTTGATAGGTTGTATATATCTATGAGTTTATCTATTTCTTTTGGATTTTTCAATTTATTGTAATATTTGCTCACAGGAACCACTAAAGATCCTTTGAATTTCTCTGATATTGGTTGTAGTATTTTTTTTTTCAACTCTGATTTTATTTATTTGTGTATTCTCTCTTTTTCTCTTAGTCTGGCTCAAGTTTGTCAATTTTGTTTATCTTTTCAAGTAACAAACATTTCATTTTATTCAATTTTTGTATTTTCTTCATTTCAATTTTATTTTTATTTCTGCTGTAATATTTTTAATATATTTACTTCCATTAATTGTTGCTTTAGTTTGCTCTTGCTTTTCCATTCCCTTCAAGTGAATCATTAGGTTGTTTATTTGAAGTTTTTTTTTTTTTTTTTTTTGATGTTGGCTCTTATGGCTGTAAATTTCCCTCTTAGAACTGCTTTCACTCTATCTCATAGGTTTTGGTATGTTTGTTTGTATTATTATTTGTTTTCAGAAATTTTTCATTTTCCTTCTTTATTTCTTCATTGACCCATTGGTCATACAGGTGCACATTGTTTAATTTTTATGTGTTTGTATGGTTTCCAAAATTCTTCTTGTTATAGATTTCTAGTTTTATTCCATTTTGGTCAGAGAAAATGCTTGATACTATTTTAATTTTTTGAAGTGTTTTAAGACTTGTTTTGTGACCTAAAATATGCTCTATACTTGAGAACAATTCATTTGCTGAGGAGAAGAATGTGTATTCTATAGCCATGGGATAAAATATTCTGTAATTATCTAATAGGTTCTGTATTAGTTCATTCTTGCATTGCTATAGAGAAATACCTGAGACTGGGTAGTTAGTAAAGAAGAGGCTTAATTGGCTCATGGCTCCATAGACTTGTACAGGATGCATTATCCTGGCATCTGCTAAGCTTCTGGGGAGGCCTCAGGAAACTTACAATCATGGTAGATATCAGAAGAAGAGTGGGGCATCTCACATGTTGAGATCAGTTGCAAAAGAGAGAAGTGGGGGAGTGTTATACACTTTAAAATAACCAGAACTCATGAGAACTCACTGTTGCAAGAACAGGAGCAAGGAGATGGTGCTAAACCACTCATGAGAAATCCACCCTCATGATCCAGTCACCTCCAACAAGCATCACCTCCAACATTTCGGGAATTATAATTTGATATTTGAGTGAGGACACAGATCTAAGCCATATCATTTTATTCCTGGTGCCTTCCAAATCTCATGTGCTTCTTACATTTCAGAATACAGCCATGCCTTCCCAACAGTCTTTCAAAGTCATAATTCATTCCAGCATTAACTCAACTGTCAAAAGACCAAAGGCTTACTGGAGAAAAGGCAAGTCCCTTCTATCTATCAGCCTGTAAAATAGAATATAACTTAGTTACTCCCAAGATAAAATTTGGGTATAGCCATTGGGTAAATACTCCCATTCCTAAAGGGAGAAATAGGCCATAACAAAGGAATTCCAAACCTCATGTAAATGTGAAACTCAGCAGGGCAATTATTACATCTTAAAACTTTAAAATAATCTACTCTGACCCTGTATCCCACATCAAGGGCACACTGCTGCAAGGGGTTGGGCTACCAAGGCCTTGGGCAGCTCCACTCCTGTGGCTTTACATGGTTCAGCTCCCACAGTTGCTTTTCTTGGACTGGCATTGAGTGCCTACAGCTTTTCCAGGCACATAGTGCAAGCTGTAAGTGGCTCTACCATTCTGGGATCTGGAAGATAATGGCCCTCTTCTCAAAGCTTCATTAGGCATTGCCTCAGTGGGGACTCTGTATGGGGGCTCCAACCCCACATTTCCTTTCTGAACCGCTTTAGTAGAGGTTCTCTGTGAGGGTTTTACCCCTGCATCAGGCTTCAGCCTCGACATCCAGGCTTTTCTATGCATCCTCTGAAATCTAGGCAGAGGCTTCCAAGCCTCAACTCTTGCATTCGGCACATCCTCAGGCTTACCACCACTTGGAATCTGCTAAGTCTATGGCTCGCATCCTCTGGAGCAGTGGCCTGAGCTGTACCTGGGACCTTTGGAGTCACAGCTTGAGCTAGAGTGGCTGGAAGTAGTTTCCCAAGGCTGTGCTGTAGAGTGAGGTCCTGGGCCTGGCTCATGAAACCATTCAGTCCTCCTAGGCTTCCGGGCCTATGATGAGAGAGGCTGCCTTGATGGTCTCTGAAATGCCTTCAAGGCCTTCTCCCCCTTGTCTTGGTGACTTGCACTTGGCTCCTTTCTGTTTATGCAAATTTATGCAACCTTTTAAAATTTCTCCCTTGAAAACTGGCTTTTTTTTCTTTTTTTTTGCCACATGGGAAGGAACACCAAATTTAACAACTTTCTATACACACAAGCACTTCATAAGAACCAAAAATCAGGTGAGCAATCACAGCACCTGATTTTAACTGCATATTACTGAAAGAAGCACTGCAGAAGATGGGAAGGACAATCTTGAATTATCAATACCACCCCTCTCCCATCTCCTGGCAGCAGCCATATAGTGTGGAGAATCTGTTCACTTGGGAGAGGGAAGTGCCATGATTGTAAGACCCTGCTTTGAACTCAGTGCTGCCCTGTCACAGTGGAAAGCAAACCCAGGCTAAACTCAGCTGATTCCCACACACTGAGAGAGTGTATAGACATGCCCTAGCCAAAGAGGACTCACCCATCCCAGTGGTCAGAATATGAGCTTCAATAAGCCTCACTACTGCAGGCTAACGTACTCTGGAGTCCAAACAAACTTGAAAGGCAACCAAGTCTAGTCCAAAAGGCAAGTCGTAGTGCTGTTCTGGGCTGGGGAGCAGTAGACGTGGGCGGCACATGACCTAGTAAGACACCAGTCAGGGTGGCTAAGGGAGTACTTCTGTCACCTCTCTCCCAGCTTCCAATAGTACAACTTGCAACAATAAAAGTGACTCTTTCCTTCTGCTTGAGGAGAAGAGAGCAAAGAGTAAAGAGAATTTGTTTTACCTCTTGGATGTCAGATCAGCCACACTAGAATATGATAGGACAGAGTCATGAGGCCCCCATTTCAGGCATTAGCTCCCGGTCAATGTAAACTATAAATAAAATTATTCAATTGGACTAACCTGTAAACTCACTGGTTAATTTTAAAATAGCATTTGAAATTATCATAAAATATCAGCTAAATTCAAGATCGTGTTTTTGTTTTTTCTTCTTTACTTTTTCTTTCATATAAATTTTACATACAATTATGAAAAAACTACATAGAGGAATCTCAAGTACATTTTAACCAGCTTTGAGCAATGGTAATATCTTGTCAAAATGTAGTATAATATCACAAACAAAAAATTTCCATTGCCACAAGAATCTTTCATATTGTTCTTTAGTTGCAGCACTCACTGCTTTTCAGGACCTACCTCCTCCTTTATCTATGAAAACACTCATTTTTATACATATTGCAAATTGTATTTGCTAATATTTTGTCAAGAATTTTTACATTTATAGTCATGTAGAATATTGATCTATAGTGTCTTGTACTTTCTTTGACTGGTTTTGCTTTCAGGTAATATACTATCTTAATAAAATGGAAGAGTTATCTCCTCTTCTATTTTCAGAAAACTATTATGTAGAATTGTGTTATCACTTCTATTTTCTAAAAAAGATTGTGTCAAACTCTTCATGAAATGATTGGTAGAATTCTCCAGTAAAGTTGTCTAAGTATAAAAATTTATGGCCAGGCGCAGTGGCTCACACCTGTAATCCCAGCACTTTGAGAGGCCGAGGCAGGCGGATCACGAGGTCAGGAGATCAAAACCATCCTGGCTAACACGGTGAAACCCCGTCTCTACTAAAAATACAAAAAAATTAGCTGAGCATGGCAGCGGGTACCTGTAGTCCCAGCTACTCTGGAGGCTGAGGCAGGAGAATGGCGTGAACCTGGGAGGTGGAGCTTGCAGTGAGCCAAGATGTGCCACTGCACTCCAGCCTGGGCGACAGAGTGAGACTCCGTCTCAAAAAAAAAAAAAATTATGTTTTGGGGGGTTTTTCAATTACAAATTTATTTTATAGAGCTTTCTACATATATGAAGATGCCTGTGTAACTGAGTCTTCATATTTATTACATGCTCATTGTTTCCCATTAATAATTGTATAGTGAAAAAAATAAGCGTCTTAGTTTTAAGATTACTTCAATAATTAATACGCTTGGATATTTCATATGTCAGTTGATTGCTTTTATTACTTTCTACTAATTTTCTATTAATTTTCTTTATCCGTTTTACTAATGTAATAGTAAATATTTACCTAATGGATTTATATATACCCCAAATTATAATTTTTTGTCTATATAAATATTTATATATTTTTATGTGCCTTTTAATTAATATTAATTATTTCTTACATAAATAAATATATTTACTGTTTGGTTAAATTTATATATTTATATATTTCTTTAAAAATTAATTTTATATTTTAAAAGAAGGTAAATTACTCATATGGGAAAGAGTATGGATGAACCTAAAAAATATATGATGACTGAAAGAAGCCAGATACACAAAAGTACATGTCTGAGTCCATTCATATGAGATTTTATATAAGAAAAATTAAACTGCAGTGACAGAGAGCAGTAGTTCCCTGAATCTGAGGAGAAACCATAAGAAATCACTGTGAAGGGTAATAAAAGAAAGCAGTGGGGTGAAAAAAATGTTCTGTACATTTATTATAGTAGTGATTACACAGATTTATAGATTTGACAAAACAGATCTAACTGTGAGCATTTTGTTGTACATAAATTATGCCCCAATAAGCTTGATTTTTAAAAGGTGAAGAAAATTTATTATAAAGAAGCTAGGGGCTCTATAAATATAGCATACATTCTAACACTTTTTAATCTACTGACGTTTTATTTAAGGTTTAGAATTGAGATAAAATTTCTCTTTTTCTTCAAATAGCTGAATTTCTGATTAATTCTTATTGAATTATCAATCTCATAGCTATTAGGGTTTAATATGTGGCTTATCATTATATTGATCTATGGCAACTTAATTTATAAATTATTTATGGATTCTTTAACATTAAATAAAATCTTTATAAAGTTTTTCTGAGGAGGGGCCGTAGGAGTGGGTATGTCTTTCTTCAAAATTATAGCAACTTTGTAACATATAAAATATTAACATCTACTGATGTATAGGTGTGTCTTCGTCCATTTTGTGTTGATATAACAGGATAACAAAGACTTAGTGATTTATAAACAATAGACATTTACTTGGCTCATGGTTCAAGGAGTTGGGAGTTCCAAGAGCAGGGAACCAGCATCTGGAGAGGATCTTCTTGCTGTTTCATCTCATAGCTGAAGGCAGAAGATAAAGATAAGGCAAGGTAGCCAAGGAGCAAGAGAAGGCTGAACATACCTTTACAAAAACTCACTCTCACGGTAACAAACCCACTCCCACAATAATAACATTAATATATTCATATGGGCAAAACTATTTTGGCCTAATCACCTGTTAGTGGTCCCACCACTTATACTGTCACAATGGTAATTAAATTTCAACACACATTTTTGAGGGGACATTCAAACCATAGCAAAGTGATATGGTGATAACTGATAGATATTATGTGTTTTTTAATGACAATAACATGTAATGCCTTACTGACACTACTAACCTGTGGAATTTGTGTTATTTTAACCACTGTGTCTATACATACAGTTGGTACAAATTTTAATAAAAACTCACCACTATTATTTGAATGCACTCTCCAAAACTCATGTGACATATCATTGCCATTGTAACGAGTATTAAGATATGGGGACTTCAAGAGGTGATTAGGTCATGAAAGCACTATCCTTATGAATAGATTAATGAAATTATTTTTGCTGTAGTTTAGTTATAAAAGAGGGAAGTTTGGTGCCCTTTTCTTTCTGTATGAAGAGGTCATTCTCACCTTGCCAGATGCGGTGCTATACCCTAGGACTTCCCAGTCTTTATGAATATGAGCCAAATAAACTTCTGTTCTTTATAAATTACCCAATCTGATATTCTGTTACATCAACAAAAACTAAGAAACTCACATATTATTGGAAAATGTATCCTTCAACAAAATATTTAATAAAAAGAATTAAACAAAAAATATATGTTTTAATCAGAGAGATTCCTGAATTAGTATGGACATTAAGAATAAATAACATTTCTATTCTGCATATTAATCAATAAAAGACATCCCTTGCAAGTACCAACAATGCTGAGGTTGATTTAGTAGACATTTCCCCATATATATCACTCTACTTTAGGGAGTCTCTTTTTATAAGCAGAACATCACTGTTTAAGAAATCTCTCAGCAAAGATCATTACATTAAAATAAAATTATGTTTCTTAACAAATGAAGACTAATTTGAGAGTGATAAGTTAGTCCTTTCATTGAATATTTCTCAATCTTTCTAATAAGCAAATGAATGTGAATATACATTTATCTTTGCTTTTATTAGTTTTTTGCAAATGATAAAATATATTTTTAAAGTGATCATATAAGATGCTATTTATACACATAAGATTTATAGAAATGTTCCTAAATTATATATAAAACTTTGAGAGTTTTCATGAATTTTTTAAATTAAAAAAATAAAGTAATATTTACATGCCATAAGGTGCCAGCAAGAAAATTATGGTAGCTAATCTTTGTAATTTTTTACAGTGGTGGGTGATATGATTTGGATTTGTATCCTTTCCCAAATCTCATGTTGAATTGTAATTCCCAGTGTTGGAGGAGGGGCTTGGTGGGAGGTGATTGGATCATAGGGGTGGATTTCCTCCTTGCTATTCTCATGATAGTGAGTGAGTTCTTATGATAGCTATTTGTTTGAAAGTGTGTAGCACCTCCACTTTCACTCTCTTCCTCTCACTCTGGCCATGACATGCCTCCTTCCTCTCTACCTTCTACCATGATTGTAAGTTTCTTGAGTTCTCCCCAGCTGTACCTCCTGTACAGCCTGTGGAATAATGAGGCAATTAAACCTTTTCTCTTTATAAATTACCCAGTCTCAAGTAGTTTTTTTTAACAATGTGAGAATGGAGTAATACCTGGGGAAAGGTTTTCTTCCCCCTCTTTTCTTTCTTCTTCACTCACCATTCTAATGATTCATAAATATGATGAAGTGTAAGTGATACATAAGTTTCTCCTCCTAAAATAGATTAGGAGAGAATCTGACTAATAGTTTCACTGTCCTAAGCTGCATGTGAATGTTCTTAATGAAGAGAGGCATTTAGAGATTAATTTGGTAACAGATTTAATTTCTCCAAGTTTAAGAGATTCTTATGTAAATATCCTAAATTTGGAAAACTGATAATACACATATAATCTAAGATTAACTATAACATACGCAGAAAGATATTGCTTTCTTTGTTTCTTTTTTTTTTTTTTTTTTTTTGACAGAGTCTCATGCTTTCACCCAGGCTGGAGTGCAGTGGTACGATCTAGGCTCACTGCAACCTCTGCCTCCTGGGTTCAAGCAATTTTCCTGCCTCAACCACCCGAGTAGCTGGCGTTAGAGGCGCCCGCCACCACGCCCAGCTAAATTTTGTATTTTTAGTAGAGATGGGGTTCATCGTGTTAGCCAGGCTAGTCTTGAACTCCTGACCTCAAGTGATCTGCCTGCCCCATCCTCCCAAAGTGCTGGGATTACCGGTGTGAGCCACTGCAGCCAGTCATTGTTTTCTTTTAAAATAGCACTTTTAGGGACATTAACCATTTTCTTATAATCATGTTGTATAATATTTTTAATATTTGTCCCATTGAGTAAGGCAACAAGTTATAGTGAACGGGTATTGGAATTGAAGGTGGAGGATTTTGGCTTTAATTCTTTTTCTGCCATTTACATAAATGTGTTTTGTGGAAATCTGTAAAGGTTATCATTAGCATTCATACAATGGCAATGAAGCAGTAGGGCATTAAACATTTTACATGTTTTAAATTTTTTTCAAAGTCTGGCTTTGGGGGTCAAGGTACAGTTCTAGATCGGGATGTTGCTATTCTCTGAATATTGGTGTCTCCCAAAATTCATATGTTGGAACTTAATACCCAATGTGGTAATAGTAAGAGGTGGGGCATTAGGGAAAGCTATTGAGTCATGAAGGCTCTGCCCTTATGAATGAAATCTGTGTTCATATGAAAGAATTTGAAGAGAACTGCCTTGCCCTCTTTTGCCATATGAGGACACAGCAAGAAGGCATCATTTATCTATGGGCAAAAGCTCCTCACCAGAAACCAAATCTACTATTGCTTTGATTTTGGGCTCCCCAGTTTCCAGGACTGTTAGCAATTTATTTTTATTACCTATACATTACCCAGTCAAAAGTATTTTGTTATTGCCACCCGAAAAATACTAAGATGGCAATTTGTACTGATAAATGGGTTGCTGCTATAACAAATACCCCAAAATTAGGAGGCAGCTTTGAAACTGGGAATGGGCAGAGGGTGGAAGAGTTTGAAGGCAAACGCTAGAAAAAGCCTATATTGCCCTTAACCACGAAGGCTGATTTTGATGAGGGCTTGGAAGAAGAGTGCTGTAGAGAGAGGCTCAGTCTTCTTATAGGTTACCTAAGTGGTTACGATTAGAATGTTGGTAGAATTGTAAATATCTGTAAAGCCCATTCTGATGAGATCTCAGATGGAAGTGTGAAACATGCTATTGAAACCCAAAGGAAAGGCCACCATTGTTATAAATTGGTAAACAACTTTCCTAAATAGTGTTGCTATCTTAGTTCTTTGTGAACGTTATGACTTATGAGCAGTGAAATGGATATTTGGTGGAGGAAATCTCTAAGTGTCGAGTGTGTGGGATGGTTTTTCTTGACTGCTTATAGTAAAATGTGAGACGAGAGAAACAAATCAAAGATAGAATTAATAACAGAATAGAAGGAGAACTTCAATTTGGAAATGTTTTAGCCTAGCCATGTTCTAAAATAAAAAAGCATGGTCAGGAGAGAACACCAAGAGTGTGGCCAAGGGACCAGCTGATGGTGATATTAGTATGGGTGGGCAGAATCCTGGTGCTATTCATCAAGACAATAGAAGAAATCTTAAAGGTGTTTCAGAGATCTTTGGGACTTTCCTAGCCATCACAGTTCCAGACTGCTGGAGACTTGGGAACTGAACAATCTCAAGGCTCTGCTGCCTCCGTTCTGGTGCAGTGCTACTTGGCTGCCGCAGCTGAGGTTCAAGTGAGCCCAAGTGTAGTTTGTGCTGCCTCTCTGAAAGGTTCAAGTTATAAAGCTTGGCTGCATCTTTGTGGTGCAATCTCTATCACGATGCAGTATACACAAGTTGTAAGGATCTGGCTCCCTCCACCTAGATGACAAAGGATGTACCAGAGAGTCTTGGGGCTCAGGCAGAGAACTGCTGAAATGGTGTACATACCACAATATTCCTCTACTACAGCAATGTTCAGTAGTGCCCTGGAGTTAGGACTACCACAGGCAGTACCCACCAGGGTGATGCTTAATGGAGCTATGAGAGTAGGGCCAACCCTATGAACTCAGACTGGTAGAGCCACCAACATACAGTCCAGCTCAGCATGAGCCTCTACCCAACCAGTGAGAACTGAGGTATGTACTCTCAACAGAGCCATGTGAGTGAGATCCTCTAAAGCCTTGGAGACTGAGCTTCTGATCCAGCGTGCCGGAAGGTATATCTTTCAGTCAAAAAAGATTACTCTGGAGTATTAAAATTTAATGTTTCCTCTGTTGGGTTTTGGATTTGATTGGGACCTATTACCTTTTTCTTCTTTCCTATTTTCCTCTTTTGTAATGGGACTATCTATTCTATTCCTGTTCCACCATTGTATTTTGAAAGTACACAACATTTTCTGTTTTGCATATTAATACCTGAAGAGTGATTTGCCTAAGGATAATCTGTACCCTGAGTCTCACCCATATCTGATTTAGGTATTAAGATGTGACTCTGGGCCAGGCGTGGTGGCTCACGCCTGTAATCCCAACACTTTCGGAGGCCAAGGCGAGTGGATCATCTGAGGTCAGGAGTTAGAGACCAGCCTGCCAACATGGTGAAACCTCGTCTCTAGTAAAAACACAAAAATTAGCTGGGCGTGGTGGCCCGTGCCTGTAGTCCCAGCTACTCGGGAGGCTGAGGCAGGAGAATCGCTTGAACCCGGGAGGTGGAGGTTGATGTGAGCTGAGATCGTGCCATTGCACTCTAGACTGGGCAATAGCATGAGACTCTGTCTCAAAAAAAAAAAAAAGAAAATTTGACTCTGGACTTTAGACATGTAAAGTGGTGCTGTAACAAAACTTTGGGAGCTATTGTAATAAAATGAATGCATTTTGCATATGATAATGATATAAATTTGGGGGAGCCAGGGGCAGAATGCTATGGTTAGAATGTTGGCATAACCCCCAAATTCATAGGTTGGATCATAATACCCAATGTAGTAGTATTAAAAGGTAAGGCCTTTGGGGAAATGATTAAGCCATGAGGACTCTGCCTTCATGTTTGGGATTAATGCCTTTATAAAAGAGGTTGAAAGGAGATGCCTTGCTCTCACTCTTCTACTATGTGAAGATACAGTAAGAAGGTGCCATCTATCTATGAGAAATGGCTCTTCACCAGAGACATCTAGTCTGCTGGTGCATTGATCTCAGACAACTGTGGGCAATAAATTTCTGTTGTTTGTAATTTACCCAGTCTTAGATATGTTGTTATAGCAGCCTGAACAAAGTAAGAGAGATTCTAAACCTTAAAAATTCAGGTTTCACTTGAAAATGTGAAAATAACAAACTCACTTCCCTTCTAACCACAATGCATGTCATCTAGTACATGCTCAATACATTTTATGCCAAATTTTTAATTTCTTCTGTTTTCTTTCTTCTAGAATTTGGAGGAATTAATTAATGTGAACTGTATTGTTGCTTATTTGAAAACACATTATACCTAAAAAGGCATATCTTTGCATCTGAAGGAGAAAGGTTATTTTTTATTATTTTTTTTTTGGTTCTTTTTACAATTGAATTTGGTGATAATCCTCCCCACCATACTTTCATACCACCTGATTGTAAGATAAAAATGTAATACATATTTGTATAAGATATGGTTTATTTTATGCAAAGTTCATAATAAATGTTGGTTTAATATGCAATTTGAAGATATTGGGCCTTGTAAATGTTAAAAGAAATTATACTTGCATAGAATTATCTAAAATTTAAAATACTGTCTGTCAACATTTAATAACATAGAAAAATTCACTAATGCCTAAATAAAGTTTTTAAAAATATGCAATTTGTGTCTTACAAGACAGCAAGACAAAAACGACTGTTTATATAATACTCCATTATACTGTTAAATTAAATTTGGTCTAAAGCTGCCTTTGTATGTAGCAAACTGTAATGTAACTTAGTATGTAAACAAACTGCAACATAACTAAAATTGTATTTTTGTAATATGTAGCTGAGTTTCAGCCAATCACAGCAGCCAAACTTCAACCAATCACAGGCTGCACACGAATCACACTAGATTCATATAAGGTGATTATTAAGCTATAACCTATCAAGCTCTTTCTATATGTCTCTTCCTTTTTCTGTCTGTAAATACTGCCTGCCCACATTGCTGGATGGAAATCTCTGAACGTCTCCTTGTTCTGAGGGCTGCCTAATTCATGAATTTTTCTTTGCTCAAATATACTCTGCTAAATTTAACTCATCTAAAGTTTTTTTTTAAATAATACTTGAGTCTTTAGTAAAACATTATTTCTGTTTGAGTATTTCCCTGTTCTATTTCTTAAGATTTTGTATTATATAATTTTTCCTCTATGAAATATTCTGTAGTTTAATTTTTAAATTAATGGAACATATAGAAAACTCTGTTAGCAGAATCTGCATATGGACATTGTCAGAAATGATTACCACATATTTATATAAACTTGTTTGGGCTAAAACTAATTATTGAATTTTATGTTTAATGTTTTAATTTTTCATGTTGTTTTGGTATGTTGTTAAATAGTATCTTTTTCACTGTTAGAAAAGCATTAACTAGCACAGTATTTAAAATAATAGAAGTGTTCAATAAATACTTGTTAAATGAATAACCAAAAGATAAAATGATTAGATGGATGAATAAATATTCTTTAAAGCTGACAAAAAAATAATAGTTTTATTATCTGTCAACATAAGGTTTAAACCACTGGATAAAACTTTTTTTATTGTTTTTAGCCAGAGTAAAATATCTGCATGTTCAGATGCCCTCTCTCTCTCTGTGTGTCTCTCTCTTTCTCTCTCTCTGACTGTCCATACTACTAAGAAAGATAAATGAAAATAGTACTTTCTCTTTTTGCCTCTGTCCTATTTCTGACCACAAAAACTGTCACAGTGATCTATTAACATTGTGGATTTTTTCTTTAGTTCAAATGACAAGGCTGCTATTTTTGAAATAAGTTCTATGTTTTTGTTACAGGCACAATGAATGATTAAAGGTTTCAGCACTGAAAATTACTAAACCTTTGTCTAAAAATATAGGCATTCTTAAAGTTGACTTACTGTGATAAGAAGTAGAAATTTCACCTCATCTGTCTACTCAATGTACAAGATATAATATGATGGGTCATAATGAAAGACAGAGGTTATTTTTTTCTACTTTCAGTAGAAATTTCTTTTATGGAACAGATAAGTGCGCCATCCTAAGTCTAACTCTTGAGAAGGAAGAGGATAAATTTAGTGAAGGAGTACAGTGTTGTGGTCTTGTCTCATATCAAACTTCTAAATATGTCTATTTATGTCTATTTTCCTTTTGCTTTATTGTTCATAGCTGAGGTTAAAACAAAAATAACTATCTTACAACGTACTATGTTATTAATAAAACAAATTTGCTTTGTTTCGACCTTCTTTTGTTTTGACATAGAGAAGTCATCACATTTTTTAAACGATGTGGCAAACAATTTTAAAATTAACGGCACCTTGTCACATAATATAGTGATTAAAATAATTTTAGGTTAATTTATAAGTACAAAAACTATCATTTTAAAACAGCAAATATATTTAATGTTACTCTTAGTCAACCTCAAGGACGATATCAAATATTAATGTTGGTATTAGTTATGCAACAGGTAAAATCCTAGTTTTGTAATAAACAATTTCATAATACTATATGTCTCTATGTAAATTTAAGTAGATTCATAGCTTTATGCACAATGTCATTCTGAAAACATGACCTGTAGTTGAATATGAGAGATCTGAACAACAGGTTTACTTTTTAAGTAAGGGTTCTATTACAATCCCAAATATCTAAAATGTTATAAACCATATAAAGTCATAGAAGAATGTACAAAGTTCTTTAAACAAAAAGGAATAGAATTATTTTTCCAAATAAAATATTACCCAGATGCTCAATACATAAAGATAAAGTTGAGCTGCTAGGGAGTAGAATGTGGAAGAATTGGTGGGGGCTGAGGGTTAGCTTCATGTGCTTCTTCCCAACCTCTCCTCTCATCTTTATATCAAGGGACTTCTGAAAAACAACCTAAAAATCATTGGAATAACTTATTCAAAGTACTATACATAAATTGTGACTAAAAAAGAGGAACTCTAAAAATTTATCTATCAGGAATGTAATCATTTTATGTGGTAACTCATATGAGCAATCTTTTTTACTCAAGTATTCATTGTCAGCACCCCTGCTATGTAATTTGTAATTTAATTTTATGGGAAAATAAACAATCAAATCTAGGTTTATTTCTACTCCCTTTGAATCTGGACTGACCTATACATTATTGCTTGACCAATAGAAAAAGCTTACAATAAATGACCACTTAAAGAAAGAGGCCCAGTTTTCCCAGCTGAGCCAGGTCTTCAGCTCACCCACCCGCTAAATGCAGAAGCATGGCAGAGCCTAGGTAGGGTGATCAGGCTCTCACTTTGCACATGAATGACTGATTTCCTGAGATGTTGGCTGGGCAGGTGCGCAGAAACCTTTTAAGTACTTGACCTGTGTCTCTATCAGGATTAGTCAGAGATCCCGATCTGGTATTACTCAAAGGTACCAGAGTATTATTATTTCTGGAGTAGTCAAGGTCTCAAATTGTTGATAAAACCAAACTGGTATTCATAACTGGTCATATCTATGTGTCTGGACTGCTCAGTTTAATCAGATTGTCAGCATACCAGTAAAAGACATTTGTTTACCCAAAACAGAAACTTTGACTCATGCTGGCTTAAATAAGGACAGATTTTAATAAGGAAAATAATTTACTTATATAAGTATGTATCCAAAGTTAGGACAGACATCAGGATTCACAGATTCAGTCATTAATCAGTGTAACTCTAGAAGTTTCTGTCCTGCTTCTTTCTAAACTATCATGCAGAATATTTCTTTCTATGGCTGATTGTCTCATGGTCATAACATGGCTGCCAGAGCAATTGGCACTAAGACTTCTTCACAATCTGGATTGAATTACTCCTGGAAACAAACAGACAAAAAAATTAGAAACTTTTCAGAAAATATTTTGTCTCATTAAGTCGATTGCGCTATAAGTCCACTCCTAAACCTTTCACCAGCAAAATGTGGAATTGCTACTATAACAGTTCTTAATCAGGATCAAGCCCTGAAGCTCAAATTCAGCAGCTTCCCTTGAATTACACAGGTTGCCTAAACAGAAGGTGGAGGCTGAAGGACAACAAGGATAATGACTGTTGGGCAGTAAAATGATGTTCACAGTAGTCCATTTTGTTTAGGGTCTCAAAGGGTCTACCATAGTCAGTACTTCAAGCATGTCAGTCTATGTAAATACAGTGGTCAGTCTGTCCAGTTTATTATTAAGTCTAGATTGTTTAGTCTGTCTGGGCCTGTTTTCCACTGCTATATTCTTGAACATAGATAAAGCCTTATGAGTGGATTTTGAGAAGAATGTAAAGGTGAAAGAAATATCTTACAATCATTTTAAAATACAGGCTTCTTTACCTAGCATTCCCCTTCAATGTTGAGAACTCCTTTTATTGGTCAGCTCCTTTAACCTTACTTAGTCTAGTTCTGCACCAAGGTTCTGATGGGAATGGTGAGTTGTTCCAGCCATGGGGCATGAATTAAACCTGCTCTCCTATTCTCCTAGCATGGGTATTCTCATCCTATGCTTCAGGAAATCTGAGTATCAGTGCTTCCCCCACAAGCAGCCTCATCCATACTTATAATCTCAACAAAGACCTTCTGTTTTTGCCAAAGTATCCCAGATTCTATGGCCTGCATATATCTACTCTTCCCAACCACCCGAGGTTTGGATAGTGAAGCACATTATGAGGAATTATTGTAAGGCTTAGAATGAGATTGACTTCACGTAAGCCTCTGTCTGCCCGTTCTGCGCCCCTTGGAAAATCATTTAGCCTCTTTAAACCTCACTTTGCTTTTCTGTAAATATTGAATTAATAATAGCACCTAGTCATCATTTTTGTTTGAAGTTGAGTGAGTTCATGAGTCGATGTATATTAAGCCATATTAAAATAGTGCTTAGCAGAGATAAATGGTTGGGTACAGGCTATTAATATGCTGTACTTCACACACATCTCACACACACACATACACACACACACACACACAGTTACACATATGCAGAATATTTAGATATATTTTCCAAGGTTCAGATTTACATTTTTTCTGTGATATCGGTGTGTGACATGTTTATTGATTGGATTGATTGAGTGAAAACCCCACTCAGCTGAATCCTAGGAAACATCATAAAAACTACGACCAGCTGAGTCTCAGGGAAACATGCCTAAGCACTTTATATAGAGAGATAACACCACAATTTGTTCAGTCAACTAGATTCGAAAACTCAGAGTAATTGTTTACCATTCCCTCTTCTCCACAACCAATTAATTCGCAAATCCCACAGATTTTCATTCTGTAAACTCTTCCCCATCTGTCCCTGCTCTTTGATTTCCAATTCTGTCTTCCTGATGCTTATCTATATTAATTCCTTCCCAACCTAACGTATTGTGTCTCCACTTTTAAAAAAATTCCAGCTTATTCTACATATCATCATTAATGCCACTGCCTCTTGCTATTTGACAGAGTCCTTATGTAGTGAGGATAACATGTATTTTTAGACAACTAAGGATGGTTTGGCTGGCCGAATTTTTGGAGTTATTCTTAATGTTTCTACTTTGGGAAAATGGGTATAGATGTCTCTGCTTAGGTCCTAATTTGATTTTCTGGACAAGAATTTTTAATAAAGAGGAAAACAAAAAGCTGCATTCATTCATAGCTCTATGTCATGACACTCACAATGTAAGCTCCTCTGAATACAGTAAAAGCTAACATCTTATGATGGAGGTGGGAGGGGACATTACCTGTTAACTTAGAAGTAACTTGACACTGGGAAATTTATATGGCACAGAAGTATTATTTTGACTTGAATCTGAACTCATGTCTTTGAACAGGAATCACTTTTTAATCTACTACTAAAGAGATCAGATAAATACTCAGAACTACACAGGTATTGCACACAAGCTAGGAGAAAGTAAAGCAATCAAAGGCCAGGGAAGTGTATGTTATAACCAAGGAGTTGTCAGTGAGACACAAGAAAATTCACATTAATTGACTCCACTATTATTTATTTCTTGAAAAGTTATGACCACAATTTATATGATGAGCTCAAAGTTGCTTCCACAATTTGATATAAACCTTTTCCAATTTACTGTCCATTAGTCGTAGCATTGCATATAAACCAAGATGCCTATTAAAAAAATACCAATAGTTTTCGTTTACCAATTGATAATACATTATGCAGTTCAATTATTCTCAAACAATGTTGATTATAACTAATAGCAGCAACATTTTACTGGCTTATATCTACAAGAGATAGATATTAATATTGTATTCTATAAGTTAAATAATATTAGAACTATTATGTTAATTTTAAACCATAGACAACAATCCAAATTTTAAAAGGTTAAAATATAATTAAATAGAAGCTCTATTTTGCCTTCGCTGACATTAAAGAATGCCCCAAGACTCTAAGGGGCATTCTTTTAATGAAAATCAAATGCAAAAAGGCAAAGGTTTGCTGACAGTCCCCTTCCATTTATGGCTGAGTCATCCAGGAAGTCTCTGTCTCTCAATATTTTCAAAAAGAAAATTGTTCTTGATCAAGAAAAGACAATGATGCTGGCTGCCTCACATGCCAAATTTAAAAAGATGCAACAAACCCTCTGGCATTGGCAGCTCCACACCCCAGAGGTGGAAGTGATCATTGAAGGTGAGTCAAACTGTCACTACACCATCTTTGGATCCATGTGTTCATTTCAGGTTCAGGAAGACTGCATGTAAGCCAAGGTGTTGCAAAAAATCTACAAAGGATCTGGAGATTCACATTAAGCCCATTTTGTTTCTGCAAATAAAAGCATTGGTGACAGCTTCTCTACCAGTCTCTCCCCTATTCCTTCCAATGATTTTGTAAGGTTCTATCTCAATATGCAAAAATAAAGCTGGTAGTTTAGAAAGACTCACTTTGAAGCTTCAGTAAACTCCACATCTGTTCACTTGTCTCCCCATCTCCAGAAAATAACATGTCTTTCTTTTTCATTTTTCAGATATCTACAAAGCATTTCTATCATTAGATTCTAATCCAGAACCACATGGTAAATAAAATTCTGAAAAAAGTAAAAAATTACTTGTAATGACGTATGAGTGCTACTAAGTTAAAATAGATAATCCAACAGAAGCATCGTGTGAGAGAGAGTGGGTGTCTGCTTTTTTCAATGATTTGTTCACAGAAGATACCTAGTAGAAGTTGTTTTTTTTTTTTCCAGATTGACCTTGTATGGCTGTTTCTGTGGATGTTTGTTAAATAAGAATATTGAGAGCCAAGGAATTCTATCAAGCAAAGATGTTCTACTCAGGTTTATGAACAGTTTTCCCCCTGTATGGCTGTACTGTTTATTCCACTGAGCCTGGCTGCATCCTTCTGCTTTGATTTATAGGGAAGGCAGAAGTCAACACCTAAAAGATGTGACTTTTAAAACAGGTGAATTTATTCTTCCAAAAATATTTCTGAAAATAGATATTTCATTGCTAAATAAGGATAAATAGATAAATTGTTTACTTCTCACTGGTGCAATATTTTATGATTCCATTATTCAGAAAAGAATTAATTTGGAGTAGATTGCATGATTGTATTTTAAAATACAAAAATTAACTTTAATACTCATCTCAATAGGAGGGATACTAACTTTCAGTTCTAATTCACAGTTGCCTATAATTTCAACTCGACTTTCTATTACCAAAACACATACTGCTGTGAATCCTTATTATCAAGCGGCAATTGAACATCACAAAAAGGCCAGCAGATAAATAGGTAACATTAAAGAGGACATAATAAGCCATTCAAACATTGTAATATATATACACTTTATAAGAAAAATATTCAAATTAATTTTCTCTCCAGGAGCCTAACAGAATATACTATCTGAAACATAAAGTGATGGTGAAAAGAATTTGCATGCTTCTCTATGGTCAGCACTGTCGTATACAAGTTGTAAAGAGCCCTCAAGAATATATTAAAGGGAATGTAAATAAATCACAGTGTTTCTAGTGTGACGTAATTAATCTGTGCAACAGGTAGGTCATATATAAACTTTATGGCTTTCTTTTTATAAGAACCTATTTGTATGCACTGCCTATTAAGTTTGTCAAAGACAAAATTCTGTAGTAAAACAGTCTCAAATTATCTATGAAGTTCATGCAGACATTTTTAAATGAATTGTTTATAAACTAGTCTTACTATATAAAAGAAGTCTACTGCCTGAATTTTCTAGATTGGCTCCATGCAGATGTATCCATACACTTGCAACAAGATTTTACTTCCACCTAATACAGTATCTGGATTTTACATCAATGATTTAGAATTCGATTAAGATAAGTCTGCTTTCCTAAAGTAAAATACTATATTATTAAAAACCTCTTAATATATAGTTTATTAAAAACTAAACTCTCTATTTTGCCAATATACCAGTTCAGGTTTTATTTACTTACTAAAATAGTAAGATAATACTTCTAATAATAGCATAAAAACCTTTTTAAAAGTCAAACGAAGTAGTTAAATTAAGTAGTGACCAGGAAAGTTAATGCTCTCTGCCAATCATACTATATTTCCCTTGTCCATTATTCTCTAACCCCTCTAAAACATGACCACGTGCCTTCTCTTCTCTTCTCAAATGCTCAGTAATTTCATTTCAACAATCACCCCAAGTGCATTCTTTCTACTTTCCTGTGGACCTGAAGCAATCAGAAGAGGATTTACTCAAAATACCACCACCATATCCAATACCCACCAGTCTCCTTAATCATGTCTTCTGTCCTGTTTCTTTAACTAAACTGTGCTAAATCTCATCCTTGTTAACTCTTTTAAAAGCCACTATGCCAGCAATTTTACCATCTTATTTATTTGTCATCAAATTTTTCTTTTCTCTGGACCATTTTTATGAGCTTATAAGCATGCTGTATTACTCCCATCTTATTATACTCACTGACTCCAATTTGGATAGTGGTCACTTTTTCTCCTCCCCATCTTTCAGCAACACTTTTCAAGATATTAAAGGGAATATACTTTTGTCTCCTATTGCTCAATATCATTGTCTTTTCAATCGACTCCAATCAGACTTTTGCCTTCATATTATTCTGTAGATGGTTCTGGAAATACGACCTCCAAAGTCCAGTGGTCAAAGCTGAAGTATGTATGTAGTAATTTATGTCTTCAATTTTTTTCATAGTAAGCCCAACCAGAGGCTTATCAACTTCATTTAAATTTTGTGGAATCAGACTTCGAATTTGCTGGTTCTTTTAAATGTTTTCCTTTTTCTAAATTAATTGATTAGTATTTAAGTTTTATCATCTTTGATTTTGTTTGGTTTATGCTTAAATTGCTATAAGGTAGAATCTAAACTTGACTTTAGGTCTTTATTATTTTCTAATATGGGCATTTAATAGTATAAATTTCCCTCTATGCACTGCTTTTATTTATCTCTTTCATGTTAAGTTGATTTTAATTTCCATTTACCTTAAAACGAAAAATTTTAAATATTTAAAATTTTTTCTTGAGATAACTTATTCGACTTGTGATTTATTTAGAAATATATTTTTTAATTTCCAGATATTTGGAAAATTTTCAGCTAACTTTATGTTATTGAGATCCAGTTTAATTCTGTTGTAGCCTAAGAAGAAACTTTGTATTACTTATATTTCATAAAATACTTATGTATTATAGCACACAATGTGGTCTATTTTGGTTAATGTTATATATGTGCTTGAGGAGGATGTATATTGTGCTGTTGTTGGATAGAGTATTCCATATATTTATGGTATTATAGATCAAGTTGATTAATAGTTCTGTTGAGATTATCTCAATCTGACTGATTTTCTGCATGCTTGACATTAGTTACTAACAGAGGGGTGTTAAAGTCTCCACCTATCATAATAAATATATGTATTTTTCCTTTTAATTCTATCAGTTTTAAACTCATTAATTTTTGACACTCTGATGTTAGTACATACAAATTTAATGTTGCTGTGTCTTGGAGAATTGACCACTTAAATATTACACAATGCTCAACTTTATCAGTGACAGATTTCCCTGTAGAAAGCAGAAATTAATATAACTAGTCCAACTTTTTTGATTACTCAGCAAGGTGTATCTGAGTTTATAAAAGTATGACATTTATTTATAAATACCATATTTATAAAATTTATAAAATACGGTTCTATGTTTCAATTTGGTTTCTTATAGGCAATATATAGTTGTGTCTGTTTTTAAATCATCCCTTATAATACCTGTTAACTGGTGTATTTAGAACATTCATTGAAAAAGTGATTGTGACACAGATTTATAACTTTCATGTTTTAGTCATTTTCTATTTGTTGTGTTTCTTTTTCTCCTTTTGTTACCTAATTTTCTGCCTCTGGCTTTTCTGTTTTATCTCTCTTCTTAGCATATTGATTATATTCTTTTTAAATTTTTTAGTTTTTGCCCTAGATTTTTCAGTGTGCATACACAATTAATGTTAATTTACCTTCAAATAACACTGTGTCATTTCACATATAGTGCCGTGACCTCTTAACAGAGTATTCCAATTTCTCCCTCCAGTTACTTATGATATTGCTATCATTCATTTTATTTACAATATGTGCTATAATCATCCAGTACATTTGCTACAGGTTGACTATCCCTTATCTGAAATTCTTGAGACCAGAAATGTTTCAGATTTTGGAATATGTGCATATACATAATGAGATGTCTATGGGGTGGAACCCAAGTGTGAACATTAAAGTATGTTTCATTTACACCTTATACACAACCTGGAGATAATTTTATTCAATACTTTAGATAATTTTGTGCCTGAAACAATGTTTTGACTGCATTTTCACTGCAGCCTATCACGTGGGATCGAATGTGGAGTTTTCCACTTGTGACATCATGTCGGAACTCAAAAAATTTTAGATTTTAGAGCATTTTGGATTTCAGATTTTCAAATTAAGGATGGTCAATATGTACTATAATTATTTTAAACAAACAGTTGTCTCTTAGATCAATTAGGCATAAAAATAGTTTTCTAAACTAATAAAAAATAGTTTTATTTTACCTTCATGTATACCTTCTCTTCCCTTTTCTATATAGATCTGAATGTCTTACCTATATGATTTTCCTTCTCCCTGAAGAAGTTACTTTCGTATGTCTTTCAGAGCCTGGGATAGTCTTTATTTCTCCCTTTCTGTTGAAGTCCAGTTTCTCAGTTTATGGCTTCTGCTCCAGGTAAGCAGATCTTGTCTTTGACTCTGCAGATTCATCTGTCTTTCCACATTTTCGTATGGCAGTTTGCCCTCCAAACTTAGTTTTCTGATTAGTGAAAGAAAAATGAATTTCAGTTTTTTTAGGATTGTTTTTATCATAAGAAAGTGACTGTTTGCAAACTCTTTTCATGCTGGATTTGAAACCAGAAGTAAAATAATACTTTTTAATATCTGTCCTTACAGTCTATACATTTTTATTAATGACTTGTGCCTTTTAGCAATATAGCTTCCATCTAAAGAAAGTCAGTTGCGATCTTCTGATAACAATATTTTGACACTTAAATTCTTTTATGAAAAAAATGAAACAATTGTTGGTAGCTTCCTGTAATATTACTGTGTTATCATTTTTATGTTTATTTCTTACTGGCTTGTGAAGAATTCCCTGATATTTATTTTTATTCATGCTCTGATGTGTCTTAGCACATTTCTAATTTATTTAAATTGCAGGTTAGTGAAATAATAAGTTTTAAGGTGGTTTCATTCTGTAAAAATCTGTGGAACAATAGATTGAAAGCATAAAATAGAGTGAAGAGAATCATGCCATGTTCTACGGGGAGATATGTTTTACCCTTTAGCAGCATATTAGAAATGCACGCTTTAGAAATGGAGGCAAACTACACTGTACATCCTCCCACACGACACATTTCTCAGCCTTGAGCAGAATTTTCCTCTTGGCAGAGAACTTTTTTGTGATGGGAAAGCTCACGAGTTTAATCTATTTATTATTTTTCGTACTAACAGAAATCAGCACACATAATTTTAAACTACATTAAAAGAATAAGCCATTTGCTTTTCAGAATGGTTTTATTTGGCCAAGATATGTCATAGTTCTCCATAAAGTTTGTCAATATGTTTCATAGAATTTAAAAACAAACTAAATGTACACCTAGAATGGTTTTGTTTGGCCAAGATACGTCATATTTCTTCAAGAAGTTTGCCAATATATTTCATTAGAATTTAAAAACAAACTAAATGTACACCTAGACTTATCTAAAAAATTGGAATATACAATACTAAATATGAAGCCAGTTTCAAAGATTTGTTAAAAACGCAATAAAAAAGTATTTTATTTTGAACTATAACAGCCAAGTATTAATTATACTTTTGACTTTTGAAATATTCAGTGATATTTCTTAACAACATGAAGATATACTGTTTTAAAATCAAGCAAGACAATACATTTCAAGAGGTTATCAGAAAAACATTCTCACTGTATCAGGTGAGAATGTAGACACAAAAGTTTTACTATTTTTTGCTTTGTTCAGGCACCTGGCAAGTAGAAAAATTGCTACATACATATTAAATTATATTAAGTTAATGTGTTTATAATTAATATATTCAATATATATTTCTTTTGCTAACTTCTTCCATTGTCCTCTTCACTTTTTATACATGGAAACTTCTTTAAAGCATCACAAATGATCAGAAAATTACAATATAATTTGCATGTGCTATTCTTTTTGAGATTGCTACATCTCTTTTAGACAGAAAGTGTCCTTGAGTTATCAACATTGGAAACTAGCCTCAAGTTTTTCCTTAATATTATTAAAAATAATAAATTTATAGCGCTACCGTGAAAACACCTTAGCTCTTCAGAGTAGAAGAACAGACAAGCTGCACATCAAGGGATACCTGTCAGCTATTAAACTCCATGGAAGTCATCATGAGGCTCAAACATGGAATTTACAGTTATCTCCGAAAGAATCAGTTAGAAAATGGTGAACAGGGTTAAGCTTCTGGCAGTATGAGGAGGAGGCAGTAAGTTGAGAGAGTGTGGGCCACATAAAATATTTAGGCAGATGAGATGATAAGCAACTTTTGAAAAATAGTTAAATATTCTGAATGTCTCAGAAAACTATGAAAACTCATTGAACTTGATGGATACCTTCAAGGCAGTCATGAGAGATGGGTTTGCAGTAACGTATGTGAGCTGAGTATCTGCCCTGCTGTCTTCAAATGTTTACATTCTGTAACAAACAGAATTGTGACACAATCTCTAGGGATGGGTTGTATGTGTGGAAACAAGATTACCTGCCAGTTCCATGGAAGAAAATATCAGAATATGAGCTATTGAAAATAAAGTTTTTACATACCTGAATCTGAATATCGTGATTGATATTCATAACTGCTATATTTATTTATGAGGTAAATATACAATACGTTTGGTTCCTATTTGCATGTGTCCAAAACATGTTGAAACATTTTATCACACTACCAATAATTATGTCAGTTAAAATTTCTATTCTTTTTGGAGTTTTATAAAACCTTTTCATAAATATCTAAATTTTATAAAATCCTTCTAAGATGGTAACATTGCTATGTTTAATTCAATAGTTAATAAACTAAATGTACACTTCTTTTCATGTGAAACAAGAAAATGAGCTAGCGAACAGTAGTTTTCCCAAATCTATGTTTTATTCAATGTTACAATATAATTGCTAAAGTTAAAAACATGCTGCTTGAAGAAACAGTTTTATTATAAGGAACTGGAATGATCAATAAGAACCTAACAGATGTGATGAATCAATTTAGTTCTCGTAAAAAGTCTGAGTCTGAGGGTGTTCCTTAATTTGGAAGACTAATAGAGATTTAATATTCTAGCTTGAAAAATTCACAACAGAGAGGGAACTTCCAACATTGTTTCCTTACCTCTTTTTCTCTGTCTACTCCATATTTACCTTTTTGTTTTCAGAGAAAATGTTGCTATTTCTATTGCTCAGTATGTAGGATACTTAAAACCCTGGACACTCTTCTGTTGAAGTTAGGACACGTAAGTGGACTTCTTTACACCCCTCTGCTTTCTAGAGTAGAGTCTGTACGGCATCTCTCCTTGCAAGCACGTTACTTATTCAGCAACCCTGAATCTCAAAGGTTTAAGTAGATGCAGAGTTTTTTAGGGTGATCAGCTATCTATAATGGTGAGAGAAGAGAAAGCCTTACTTAAACTTATCATCTAAGATTTATTCTCTAAATATTTAGAACACTGTGCATTTGAGTAGATTGTGTGCATGTTCAGCTGTTAAAATTGTACTAGGCTTGTGATTCTGTTATCAGTCCTTTTGTGTACAGCCGCAAGAGTTTGAAACACTAAAGGAGGCTGAGGCAATGATAAATATGAGCTCCAAGCCTCCACCCTAAACTCTGAATATATTGTTTTAGTGTACTTTCCTTTATCACTTAAGGACTACTAAGTTCTGTTCCTGTAATGAAACTATATGTTGTATTGGAATTTGGCTGAAATAGTACAAATAAATAATGTGTTTTTCTCAGAGTTTACATGAATAAAATGGATTGCTTTAATGCTATTTAGATAGTATATTGCTAAATCTCTTCCAGAGGGTGAGATCAAATGGATCCCACTTTAGTAAGTTATAATCACTCTTGAATTCCTAGTAACTATAGAAAGAACTGGTCCCCAAAACACTTTTTAAAATGATATTATAACTAAGAGAAAATAATTGGACTAATTAAGACTTTTACATTAGAAATTAAAGACCTTAAAATACTTAGCAGCTATGAAGAATCTTGGAAAAGGATTGACCGATTTCTCCCATTTGGAATGAGTGTATTTATGCAGTAAAATTTCTTAGTGAATTTATATAAAAAGTATAAAATACTAGATAATTATTCATATTCAATGAACTATTAATTTTTATTTAAAGAGCCCACACATTGCTTTTCTAAAAATGAAAGATTATAGTAAATTGTCTTCATATTAATTAAATATGAATTTAATTCATATGAATTAAATATAATTATGTGGTATGAATAAGAAAAGCCATTAATGATACTGAAGATATTTTCTAGTATACATAAAGACAAAAAGTTACAAATAAAAAAGGCAGTTGTTCATGGAAAAAGAAAATCTGTAAATTAAAAGGCACAATTAAACTGACATGTCTTCTAGCATCTTTCTGACAGGTAATCTCACTGATCTGAATGCTGATATTTCCAAATATGGAAGCCCCAAGTTTAAGAACTATGAATAATAATAATAACAACTTTAGAATAAATGTTTATCTGACAATGACATTAGTATATTAATTTCTGGAAAGAGATAATACACACAAATATAAAATGTAAAATTTAATTAAATTTGGAATATTATGAAGCCATTTAAATGGGTTATGTTACAACCCCCTTGTAGGACAGCATATAGTTATTGAAGCAGTTTTTTTCAAAGTGTCTGTGATAGTATGCTGACATGGTCTGGCTCTGTGTCCCCACTCAAATCTCATCTTGAATTAGAATCTGAATGGTAATTCCCTCATGTTGGGGGAGGGACCTCATGGGAGGTGATTGGATCATGGGGGCACTTCCTTTATGCTGTTCTCAGGACAGTAAGTGAGTTCAGAAATGATGGTTTTGTGAGGGGCTTTTCCCCTCTTTGCTCTGCAATTCTCTCATTCTTCTCCTTTCTGCTGCCACGTAAGGAAGAATGTGTTTGCTTCCTCTTCCACCGTGATTGTAAGTTTTCTGAGGCCTCCCAAGCCATGCTGAGCCGTGAGTCAATTAAACCTCTTTCCCTTATAAATCACCCATTCTTAGGTCTTTCTTTATCAGCAGCGTGAGAATGAACTAATACAGTAAATTGGTACTAGTAGAGTGGGGTGCTGCTATAAGAATACTCAAAAATATGGAAGCAACCTTGGAACTAGGTAATAGGCAGACATTGGAACAGTTTGGAGGACTCAGAAGTCAAGAAAAACGTGAGAAAGTTTGGAACATCCCAGAGACTTGTTGAATGGCTCAGAATGAAATGATGGTAGTGATATGGACAATAAGGTCCAGGATGAAGTGGCTTCAAATGGAGATGAGTGACTTGTTGGGAACTGGAGTAAAGGTCACTCTTGGTATGAAAAGAGCCTGGTGGCATTTTACCCTAGCCCTTGAGATCTGTGGAACTTTGATCTTGAGAGAAATGATTTAGGGTATCTGGTGGAAGAAATTTCTAAGTGGCAAAGTGTTCAAGAGGAAGCAAAGCATAGAAGTGTGGAAAATTTGCAACCCGACAATGCAGTAGAAAAGAAAACCCCATTTTCTGAAGAGAAATTCAAGCCTGCTGCAGAAATTTGCATAAGTACAAAAGGAACAGAATATTAATCACCAAGATAATGGGGAAAATGTCTCCAGGGTATTTCAGAGATATTCACAGCAGCCCCTTTCATGCCAGGGCCAGGCCCAGGGCCCCCCTGCTGTGTGCAGCCTAGAGATTTGGTGCCCTGCTTCCTAGCCACTCCATCCATGGCTAAAAGGGGCCAAGGTACAGCTCAGGCCATTGCTTCAGAAGATGTGAGCCCCAAGCCTTGGCAGCTTCCATGTGCTGTAGGTCTTGTGGATGCACAGAACTCAAGAATTAATGTTTAGGAACCTCCACCTAGATTTCAGAGGTTGTATAGATGTCCAGGCAGAGGTTTGCTGCATGGGTGGGGTCCTCATGAAGAACTTCTGCTAGGGCAGTGCAGAAGGGAAATGTGGGGTCGGAGCCCACACAGAGTCCCCATTAGGGCACTGCTCAGTGGAGCTGTGGAAAGAGGGCCACCATTCTGCAGACTCCAGAATGGTAGATCCACCAACAGCTTGCACCGTGTGCTTGGAAAAGCTGCAGACACTCAACACCAGCCTGTGAAAACTGCTGGGAGGGGTCTTTATCCTGCAAAGTCACAAGGGGGGAGCTGCCCAAGGCTGTGGGAGCCCACTTTTTGCATCAGCATGACCTGCATGTGAGACATGGAGTCAAAGGAGATGTTTTGGAACTTTAAGATTTAATTACTTTCTTGTTGGATTTTGGACTTGCATGGGGCCTGTAACCCCCTTTGTCTTGAACAATTTCTCCCATTTGGAATGAGTGTATTTAATGAGTATATTTAATTGAGGTACCAATTTCTGTACCTCAATTGCATCTAGGAAGTAAATAACTTGCTTTTGATTTTACAGGCTCACAGGTGGAAGGGGCTTGTCTTGTCTCAAATGAGACTTTGAACTTGGACTTTTGCTGGAATTAGTTAAGACTTTGAGGGACTGTTGAAAAGGCATGAGTGTGTTTTGAAATGTGAAAGGGATATGAGATTTGGGAGGGGCCAGGGGTGGAATGTATGGTCTGGCTCTGTGTAGCCACTCAAATCTCATTTTGAATTATAATCCAAGTTGTAATCCCCACATGTTGGGAGAGGGACCCCATGGGAAGTGATTGAAAAATGGGGGCAATTCCCTCATGCTGTCCTTGTGATAGTGAGTGAGTTCTAATGAGATGTGATAGTTTTGTGAGGGGATTTTCCCACCTTAGCATGGAAGTTCTCTCATTCTTCCACTTCCTGCTGTCATGTAAAGAAGGACATGTTTGCTTCCACTTCTGCCATGATTGTAAGTTTCCTGAGGCCTCCCCAGCCATGCTGAACTGTGAGTCAACTAAACCTCTTTCTTTATAAATTACCCAGTCTCAGATATGTCTTTATTAGCAGCATGAGAATGGACTAACACACTTGCATAATGGGTAATAATTAAAAACTTCTTTCTTCCCTTTTTAAATACATGACTTTTATTCTGTCTCAACCAATTTGTCTCTTTACCTTGTAAGAGATTAGGATTAGGCATGAAAAAATGTGAAGATAAAGTATAATATTTAGCTGGTGACATTCAAAATTTTGGTGTAAAAATCACAAGGCTATTTTCTTGTGACATAGTCTAAGTCTGCAGGCATATCACTCTAAATACACCTGATCTCATTTGATCTCAGAAGCTAAGCAGGGTCAGGTCTTGTTAGTACTTGGGTGGGAGAAACACTCTCTAAACTATACTTCCTACTTTAGTTTTGTGGGCTGGGCAACAGAATTGTATGTAATAAAACTATTCAGATAGGGAGAAGTAGATGGAAATTCCCTTTCCCTCCTGAAATTTATAGTGAATAAAGGAGAAACATATAGGTGAATCAGAATCAAATGTTTACATGCATACTCATTTCTTTTCTGTGGATTTTAGTTTGAGGTGCAGGTGGTAGAAAGATGAAGGTATTACAGAATGCATACCCCTCTGATTAGGAGTTCTACATATACACTCTTCTGTGTCAAAATGGGGAAGTCAAAGCCTAATCAAGAATAGAAACTTGCTGGTTAGAGAGAGAGAAAGACAGACAGACTAGCAAGTATTCAGAAGCCTCTCCTTCTTTCAGGGCTGCATGGCCACACTAAGTTGAGAGCCAGCAAATTTGTTATGGAGCCTACCATTATAAGACTTATTAGCTACAAAGTTGACGTTAGTGGTGGACCACTGGGCCAGGAAGCTGAAGGGAGTACATGGCAGGACCCAAGACCTACAGCCAGTAAACTCTGAGGGGGAAAATATTTGCAATTAAAAGCTGATCATGGCATCCTAGAATTTGTCCTGAGCCAAATAAAGAACGTATTCACCAGTTGCAGATGTCGGCATCAGAGGCCAGCAAGACACTATGTGTCTGGGCTGTGACTTTAATGCTCCAAAATATTTATTTGATTTGACTTTTTATATAACTACCCCTTGTGCTTACTTAATCACACTCTTCAATGCATGTCCTTTTTACTATTAACCCCCCCAGCATTTTTTCCCAACATTTCCCACCTCTTGTCTCCAGTTCCTGGTAACCACAATTCTGTGTTTCTGTGAGTTCAATATTATTACATCCCACATATCACTGAGATCAGGCAGTATTTATTTGTCTTTCTGTACTTGGCTTATTTCACTTAATGGAATGTCCTCTAGGTTCATTTATTTTGTAAATGACAAGATTTCCTTCATTTTTATGGCTGAAGAGTATTCTATTGTGTATATATGCCACATTTGGTTCATCTGTTAATATGTCGATGAACAGTTAGACTAATTCCATCTCGGCCATGTTGAAGAATGGTGAAATGAACATGGGAGTCTAGACAACTCTTCAACATACTCACTTCATTTCATTTTGATACATATCTAGTAGCAGAATTGCTGGGTCATATGGTAATTCTGTTTTTTATTTTTTGAGGAACCCCCACTACTTTTAAACATTAGAAATAAAAATAATATAATTGGTTCTTGCAAGTTTTCTCTGCTACTGGAAAGACGGACTCTAAGTTGGAAGCAGTAGAAGGGGAGAAAACAGGAACATAATCAACCCTTAAAAACTATTCACCACTCTCAATATGTTGGATCTCCTGTCATCTGTCTAGCCTTGTCTTTGAAAAAGTAAAAATGTGTGCAAAAACCATTTACTGCAGGCTTAATACTGAACTGTCTTTGTGCTCACCGTCTCTTTTCTGTGTTAGTTTCTTTTTTCAAACCATTTTAATCTTTTTAAAAATGCATTTTAGAAATGATTTTTATCTGATTTTATTTTTCTTCCCCTCTTTGTCTTATATTTCCTTTTCTCTTTTGATGCTACTTATATCTGATTTTAGTATAATTAGATGTTCATGTTTGAAAATTCAGAAACTACCAAGTTACACATATCAAAAGAAATCAAATCACAGGATAAAAGTATTAATTTTTTAAATTTCAGCTCTTATTTTAGATACAGAGCATACATGTGCAGGTTTGTTGCATGGAAATATTGCATGATGTTGAGGTTTGGGATACGGATCCCGCGTCCAGGCACTAAGCATAGTTCTCAACAAGTGGTTTTCCAACCCAGGACTTCATCTCTCCTCCCCGCTCTAGCAGTCTACAGTGTACATTGTTCCCATGTTTATGTCCATGTGTGCTCAGTGTTTAGCTCCCACTTATAAATAAGAACATGTAGGCTTTGGTTTTCTATTCCTGTGTTCTTTTAGGATTATGGCCTTCAACTGCAAAATGATTAATATTTTAATAAGCTTCCATCAAGTTCTCATATTTACCTGTGTGCAGTTCTATAAACACAGGCAGTAACATATATATATGTATATATATGTTTATGTATAAATATATAAATATATAAAATAAATACATTTATCTATATATACAGTTATACATTTATATATGTGTTTTGCATCTATGCCTAATATTTCATTATATCTATTCATGATTTTTCACATAAATTCTGAAGATGTAATTATGTAATTTGTTGAGATATTTTACATTAAAGGTTCTAAAAAAAGAAAAATGAAAACAACTCAATTGAATTCCTATTGTATGATTATCTTAAGAAGAAGGGACATAGGCATAACACCAGTTTGCTTGACTTAGCATGATGACCATTTCTTAACTTTTTAATTAAAAACCTAATCAAGTTTTATCATGTTTTAAGGTTTTTAGATAATTTCACATAGTGTGTCAATTATTCAAGGTAGTTGCTTGTATGGAAAAGAAAGCAAGTTCCTTCTTGCCTACTTTTTACCCCCAACCTACTGCTAAAGGAATAAGCAATGAGAATTTTTTTTTTCAGAGTCAAGGTTTAAAAAAAAAAAACATTTGTCAAATGCATGCTTTATAGCAGATCATTTTGTTTTCCTGCTTCTGCAATGTGACATAGAAAAATGAGTGTTGGATTAGAAAAGTCCCCTGGTAATAGAATGGTCTATTTGTTTGGCTGATTAGAAGCAGGAAAAATAGATAAACTAAGAATTTAGGAAGGCAAAATGGACCTCTGATAACTGAGGTGAGATAAACACTAAAGAAAACTGCCAAAAGACAATTTTGACTCAATATAAACTAAAGAAAAAAGTGGTAACAAGAGAGACAAAACCTAACCTGGAAAAATTTAGTCTACAATAAGCTAAATTAATGATTACCAAAAGTTATTGAATAATGACCATGAGCCAGATACTAAGTCTGTCTTATCTATTGTCTGATTTAATTGCCACAGCAGCCCTATGATATAGTGACTGTTAACCTAAATTTACAGATAAGAAAATGAAGCCTAAGGGTATTTTGCCCAAAATCACTGCTAGCATTTAGCATACTGGGGTGGAAATTGAGGTTTAACTGTGTTAGTATGCAATTGTCTCAGATGCAATATTCTATTTCCTTGTGAGGAGCAATGAAGAGTTTCTATCCCAGAAAAAGATAAGTAGTGATAATGGTTAAAAACAAAAGTTACCTATTTTTATTTTACCTACCCTTAAATATTAAAGCACATTTAAATATAATTGCTTAATATACATTTTGTTTTTTGAAATTTAAAAAATCTGTTCTAAAAGGCCATACATTTTCTCTTCTGAAAAGCAAGAAGAATATTGCTATCTCACAGTGTTAAAGTAAAGATGGAACGTGGAAATGAAGGTAAAATGCTAGCTAAGTAAGTGCAATCCTGGCTCATACACACTAAGCACTCACAAAATAGTTAATGAGGGTATTGTTATACTGGCTTTGACAAACCAATGACTTATTGCTGGAATTGTTTCTGATGTGCCTTAAGTGTTTAAATTCTTAAAATGGGCCTACTCCTGAATGAATCTGTGTGTCTTTTCAAATGGTTCACAGTGATATATTTTTATTATATTCAATTTTTGGAAATGTTTCAGTTATGTATTTTTCTGTATGATAATTTAATTATAAAAGCATTTTCTTGAGGAATTATCTTGTTTTTGAAAACATACAAGTATAGCTGTGTTATATACATATATTAATAATTTGATTTAAGAAACTGAATGCCTCTCATGTGTCTTTCAGGGGATGTTTACCTGATTTTTGTGGTCAGTGATAAAAGTTCTTAAGTCATTAAAATGTTATTAAATATTAAATATCATTAAAATATTTGTTGAGTCATCAAGTAATAAAGCATTTAATCTGAATCAGGTGTTTAGTTGATTTATGGGATTTCTTCAGGAAGAATAGATAACAAGAAGACAGCAATTGAAAATTCAAAATGAATTAAGAAAAATCCACTTAGGAAATAGAGAAAAGTATAATAAAAAATAAAAAGTGGTAAAAATGGCAGAGGTTATAGTGACAAGCAAAAAAGGAAAGAACAAAAATTATGATCGCAAAAATTACTCAAAAAAAAGTAATTAAATAAGCCCCCATTTAAAGATGTGGTTTAGATAAAGCCAAAAAATCCTGATATTTAAAAAATAGCTCTATAAAATGAATACTTTGTATGCAAGATATTGAATAGTTAATAATTATTCTAAATAAGACTTCCTTCTAGGTCTCAAATCTAAGGTTTCTGATATCTGCCAATTCTGGTTTAACTATTAATAAAAATAAATGTGTCAATTATAAATATTAGATAATGTGTGGTAATAGGTTGCTAGGTAAAATACAGGGCTCTCAGGTTAATGTAAATTTCAGATAAATAACAAATACTACGTTATGTGAGTAAATATAGGAATATGTAATTTAAGACATACTTAATTAAGTGTACTTTAGTTTTATTTGCTAAGTCCAGCAACTCTATGTAGGAGTTATGCTTTACAAAATATTTAAGCATATATTCAATCCTTCACTAATAGTCAAGAATCTTTTTTTTTTTTTTTGAGATAGAGTTTCACTCCTGGCTGGAGTGCAATGGCATGATGTTGGCTCACTGCAACCTCCACCTCCTGGGTTCAAGCGATTCTCCTGCCTCAGCCTCCCAAATAACTGGGATTACAGGTGCCCGCCACCACACCCGAGCTGATTTTTGTATTTTTAGTAGAGATGGGGTTTCACCATGTTGGCCAGGCTGGTCTTGAACTCCTGACCTCAAGTGATCCATCCGCCTTGGCCTCCAAAAGTGCTGGGATCACAGGCGTGAGCCGCCACACCTAGACCTTATTTTTTATTTTTTGTTTATTAATTACATTTTGACATTTGAAAATAAATTGAGGCACCATATGTTAAAGGCGACATATTTAAGGGCACTAAAATTTCACTTTACCATAAAATCTAAATTATATTAGGAAACTGGTGTATGATATAGTTCGAAGAAACACACTCAAAAACAGAGTTTGAAGCAAAATTAGATAAGCTGAAGTCAATAATGCTATGAATATTAAAAGTCAAGTCAAAGAGGACCCATATTACAGGGAAACCAACAGAGAAATCAAATATATGAAAAGACAATCATTGACTGTCAATATTTGAGATTCCAAACCACCCACAAGTTCCAAAGGGTGCTGTGAGAAAACTGATTTATTGTATTGAAATGAAAGTTCTGCACATGTATTCCAGTACTTAAAGTATAATAAAATAAAATAAAATAATCTCTGGACAGACGCTTCTCTTCTGGCATTATAGGCTCAGACGTAAGAACCACAGGGGTCATGCAAACCTGGGGAGTATTGCTCAGGCAGTTCCTTCCTACTCATGGCTGGGCCGTCACTGCATTATTAATCAAAGCTTGTTCAATCAACGCTGTCTCCTGCCAACCTGTTTAATACAATCTGACACTTAAAAAAAAAAGAAAAGTTCAGAGCTCAGGCAGTCGAAGCAAATGGGCAAAGTCATTGCAGACCAAGAAATGGAATGAGCAGCATGAGAAACAGGAATCAAGTAAAGCCAAATCTTGAAAATTCTGGCCTGAAACCAATCTCAGGATAATAGCCAACTACACTTCCAAGTGAAAACATGAAGATACAATAATTAGATTTAATTGCAAGAGTCTGAGCAGTAAAATGGTTGTAGAATTCTAAAGAAAAGGACCAGTTCTGACAATGCCAGGATTAAAGTTAATAACTGAAATGTACATACATAGAGGCTTACATACAAATATGAATACAAAATTATACTGGGAATATTAAATAATTAAAAATTAAAGCATAAAAATATGAGCTTTTGAAAAAATGAAAATATATAAACCAGTCCTTAATTTTGAAATACTTATTTTGACATCAGCTCTATTCTGCAGTTTCCTAGAGATATATTGGTCAGCAAAACAAATATAGACCCTGCTCCATAGAGGCTACAGTTTTGCATTTACAAACTGTAGTAAGTATCATGTAAGAAAATTATAGTGTTAACTGTTTGACTTAAACATCTATAAGGAGGTTGGAGAACATTGCACTAAGGAGTTGACTGTGTGTGTGTGTGCTTGTGTGTGTGTGGCGTAGATCAACAGAGGCTTGATCATAAAGCTCTTTATAAGCCATGCTAAGGATTGTTAGACTTTGTCCTAGAACAATGAAGGGCCTTTGGAGGATGATGGGGAAAATTTACATGGTCATATGGAGGTGAGAATCAAAGCTGAGGAGTAAGAATTTCACCAAATGTCCAGTTTTGGTGTAGAAGTACATCCATGAAAACATTATAATGGTTATGTACTGAGATGAGATATGTGCATGTCTGACATTATTCTGAAGCCATTGCTTTTAATCAATTACTTTTATTGAGGAAGAATGAGGCAAACCACCCTCAGATAATAGTCAGTATTATAGCCAATGTGCAACTATTGGTACAGCAGTATTGGAAATTTTGAATTGTATTGCTTTAACCATGTCCACATAAAAAATGGCTTGCAGTATTAGAATAAAAATGATGAAAAATATATAAACTAAAAATAGATTTTTTTCTTAAACACTTTTAGAAGCACTGGTGATACCTTGATCAACATAGTTCTTTTGCATCACAGAATACTGTGTGGGTAACACATTTCCTTCTCAGAAAAAAAATGCAAATATTAAGGTTTCTTTTAAAATCGAATGGGACATATTTTCTAAGAAATAGTCACAGATAAAATTTTTTAAATTAAAAGACTATACTAGGAAAGGAGGGAGAAAGGGAGGAAAGAAGGTGGTGGGGAAAGGAGGGCTGGAGGAAGTAAAGGGTCAATATTGATACATTTTAAATATTAAGTCATTTTAAAAGTATTTGTATTAACACTGTTTTTCCATTATCTCCTATTAGCCTAAATTTTCTGTTTTGCTCCAGCTTCTTATTATACAGTACTTGACAACCCCTCATGACTGAGGTTGTTGTGAATATTTTAAATGATAACCATCTATCCCTTGAAGAACTATCCTATCTTCAAGAACACTTAGGATTATTGTGAGAAATGTTTCTGGTAGCTGATGGAGAGTAAGGAGCGAGAATAAATATTTTTATGTCAGAATTGCCTATAGATTTTCTGCATATTAATCAAAAGAGTTATTTTCAATGCCCGATTTTCATGTTGTTTGTATAGTATGCAGTACTACAAACTCTATAGGAACAACTCCAGTAAAACATATACAAGGTACATTAAATGAATTACTGTATTCTCCAAGCTACCACGATGTAGAGGCAAACATCAAATATAATCAAATCACCAAAGACTGTTTTTTTCCATTTTACAAAAAGATTAAATATTAAATGAAAATCAATTGCTTGTTTCTGCAAGAGGTATTCCCCTATATGTAATGTCCTCATTTCTCTCTGAGTGTATATGCCAGATGTTTTTTTTTTTAGGAGAAATTTTCAGTGCTAATGATTTAGTAGATTACCTCTACTCCTGCCAGATGCTTTTACATGACTTAAGTTATAAAATGTTGCTTTGATTCTCCCCAAATTTACATCTGTCCCATACATTGCACATTTGGAGACACCAAGTTTCACACAAATGTTTTTGAATTCTATTTCTGAAGGCAAATCTCCAACTCCATTGTTTCTGTTACCTGATACAATGTGTATCTTAAAATAAGAGTATACCAACACAGAAAACATGAAATTAAAGAATGAGAATCGCACAGATAATTTTGAAGTAAAAAAATAGTGTGTTGATCTTCTGACTATATTTAACACTTATGTCTTTCAGTCTCATCCTAGGCTAGCTAGTTCAATTTGTACTTCTGCAGTGCATGAGTATTTGTAACCTAAAACGTCTTGTAAAATATAATTTGCCCCCTTATTTCTATGAACTGATTTGAAAGCTTATTATGAATTTCTTCTCAATTTCTCTTAACTCTTAACATTCATTAGACTTCCATTAGTGGTACTTAGACCTGCTTTTGCCTTCAATAAGGTTTAAATTAAATCCTAAGAACATAAGGAATGAGACAGCAGAATTAACCCCCTCTTTGGCCAATATTATGTCTCCCACAATGGTAGAACGGAGTATTATACGGGAGGCATAGAAATGTCCTGCAGGGAAGTACTGCTCACAATAGCAAAGACATGAAATCAACCTAGATGCCCATCAATAATAGACCAGATTTAAAAAAAAAAAAAGTGAAATGTATACACCATGAAATACTATGCAGCCATAAAAAGGGATGAGATCATGTCCTTTGCAGGGACATGGATGGAGTTTGAAGCCATTCTCCTCAGCAAACTAGCACAGGAACAGAAAACCAAACACTGCATTTTCTCACTTATGAGTAGGAGCTGAATGATGAGAACACATGGACATATGGGAGAAACACAGAGTGGGGCCTGTGGGTGGGGAAAGGGAGACTATCAGGAAGAAAAGCTAATATATGCTGGGCTTAATACCTAGGTGATGGGATGATCTGTCTAGCAAACCACCATGGCAGATGTTTACCAATGTAACAAACCTGCACATCCTGCACATGTACCCCTGAACTTAAAATAAAAGTTGAAGAAAAACAAAACAAAAACAATAAGCATCCTTCAAGGAAATATTTTTAAAATTGTATAAAGTAATTGTTTCACCTTTTAAAATTAAATCATGATTTAATGTTAAGGGTTCTTTAATCTACTTACATTTTATCTTAAATGAATAGTTACATCTTTATGTTTAGTACTGTGAAATAATTATATTGTTCTAATTTGTCATAATAACGTCTACCTTCAAGAGACAACTTTATTCTCATTTTCTTGCTAGTAATCAACGTCATTCTCAAACTTTCCTTTCTTTTCATAACCTTCTAGATGACTCTGATCTTTCTGTGGATATTAGTATAGGCAGTGTATACTTGAATACTATAGTTCTACACAAACTTATAGGAAAAAAATATTTATACAGTACTATATGTTTTAAGTGTCATAGAAAATTCAATATTGGATTATCTTCAAATAGAAGTTAATGTTACAATGACCCATTGTATTTAATCTATTTAGGGTCCTTCTTTTCCTCAATTTTTTATGTCTTTTTATGTTCTAATAGATAAAGTGAAATTTTGACTGGAAACCAGAATATACTGTCATATAATTTTCAGATTTTGATAATGCTAATATTTTTATTGTGCTATTCATAGCAAATGCATTAGGTGTGGTGCCTTATAAAAGCACATAAATATTCCGAGTACAGATTATACTAACAAGTCTGTTATATAAAAAATTAAATATTGTTTTAGATGCATTAATATTTGTGTTCCTATTTGAAACTAACTAGGCTTCTACTTTTAGAACTCTAAGGTAATACTCTATCACTTTCATTTGTCTTTAGAAACTGGCAATTTTTGGTATAATATACAATTTTTCAGTTTTAATTTTGCTCGATTCCTTCAATTTCTAGGAATATCGAGTTTTTTATAACCAGAAAAATTTATTCCCACATTATGGTGTTCTTCCTAAATACTCTTGAAACAATTCTTAAATGACAGCTAAACCTTTTTTCCTTTCACTGTAATTCTTTCTACAGAGTTATTTCATGAACTGAACTATTTCCAGACACTTAATTTGATACCATCAAATTTATTTTCAAATTAGAGGTATTTTAAAAGAATATTAACAATTTGGCATTCCCAGGTAGAATAAAAATCTAGATTAACAAGGTGGGTAAAGACTTATGAAGATGAGAAAGAGGAATATATGGGAGAGAGCAGCTAGCAAAAAATATGGTTGAGGGAGATCAATGAGGGTAGTGAAGATATGTGGTTAAGTGTCCCTTTGTATTCCTGTGTGTATAGTCATCTCGCCCAATTTCCCATAAAACTCCTGTAGCGTGTGTGTGCACACAGACACAAAGACTCACACACACACACACCCCACTGTATTGTTGTCAAACATATAGAAATTAGCAGTGTTTCACATTTACATCGAGTGATACTATCTATGCTTGTGTAATCTTTTCAGATTTCTTAATACATCTCAACCAACATTTATATCCCCTCTAATGTTCTTCCTCAGTTGCAAACCTATTTGTATATTCTCTGATTCTGTACATATTCTTAAAATGATATCCAATTCTCTTCTGGATTGGGTTTTCTAGACAAATCACAAAACTTTGAGATGAGTTTTGACATGATGTGTTATTATGCATTGCATGCCTGTATCAAAGTGTCTCTTGTACCCCACAAATACATAAACCTACTATGTACCCACAAAAATTAACAATTAAAATAATAAATAAATAAAAGAAAACAGAAAAAACTAAAATGTGGAGTAATTTTATTTTTCAATTTCATTTTTAATTGACAAAACTACATGTATTTATTATGTACAACATGATTCAAATGTATACATAATGTAAAATGTTAAATATAATTAATATGTACATTGCCTTACATAGTTAGCATTTTTGTGGTGAAAATACCAATTGTCTTATCGTTTTCAAGAATAAAATATATTATCATTAATTATATTCACTATGCCATACAATAGATCCTTGAACTTATTCTTTTTAATTGTAAATATGAATCCTCTGACCAACATCTCCCCAACCAACCCAGCCTTTGAGAGCAACCATTCTACTCTCTGCTTCTATGAGATCCACTTTTTTTAATAGCTTCTCTCTATTAATGAGATCATGCAGTATTTGTATTTATGTGCCTGGATAATTTCACTTGAAATAATTTTCTCCAGATTCATCCATACTGTTCATCCATACTTCACCCACAAATGACAGGACAGCTTTCTTTTTTCTGGACAAATAATGTTGCATTTTATATAAATATACATTTTCTTTATTCATGGTATGTTGCTGGACACTTAGGTTGATTCTATATTTTGGTTATTGTGAATAAAGCTGCAATAAATACTAGATTGCATTTGTCTCTTTGACATACCAATTTCATTTCCTTTGGGCATATACCCAGTAGCAGAATTGCTGGATAATGTGGTAATTCTATTTTTAACTCATCGAGAAAACTTCATACTGTTTTTCCAAATATCCATACTAATTTTCATTCCCATCAACACTGCAAGGGTTCCCTTTTCTCCACATTGTTTGAAAACTTATCCTTTGACTTTTTGATGATAGCCATTTTCACGAGGGAAGAAATATCTATTGTGGTTTTGATTTGCATTTTTCTGGCGATTAGATATTTTGAACACTTTTAAATATAATCTGTTGGTCATCCATATGAATTATTTTGAGAAGCATCTATTCCTATTCCGGTCAGTTGTTCACTTTTAAATCAGGTTATTTGTTTCCTTGCTATTGAGGTTTTTGAGTTCCTTGCAAATTTTTCGTGTTAACCCTTTATCAGATATATGGTTTGCAAATATTTTCTCCTATTTTGTAGGTCTCTTCACTCTGTTGATTGTTTCCTTTGCTGTGCAGAAGCATTTTAGTTTGATGCAATCTCATTTGCATGCTTTTGCTTTTGTTTCTTGTGCTTTTGAGGTCACATGCAGAAAATCATTGCCCAGACAAATATCATGGAGCTTTTCCACTATGTTTATTTTAGTAGATTCATAGTTTCAGGTCATACATTTAAGTCTTCAATCGTTTTGAGTTGATATGTTTATATGATGAGAGATAAAGGTCTTTTTTCTTCTGCATGTGGACATACAGTTTTCTCAACACCATTTATTGAAGACACTTTCTTTTACCCATTGTGTGTTTTTGATAACTTTGTCAAAAATCAGTTGGCTGTAAATGCCTAGGTTTATTTCTGGACTCTTTATTCTATTTCATTTTTCTATGTGATTGTTTTTATGCCAGTACCATATTATTTTGGTTAGTACATCTTTGTAGTATATTTTGAAGTCAGGTAGTGTGATGCCTCCAGCTTTGTTCTTTTTGCATATATATATATATATATAAATGTTTGTGGGTTCATAGTATGTACATATATTTATGGGGTACAGGAGCTGTTTTGACACAGGCATCCAAAATGAAATGAGCACATCATGGAGAATGGGGTGTTCATCCCGTCAAGCATTTGTTATTTGAGTTACAGACAATTCAGTTACACTCTTTAAGTTATTTTGAAATGTGCAATTAAGTTACTATTGACTATAATCACCCTATTGTGCTATCAAATAGTATATCTTATTCTTTCAACTTTTTGTACCCATTAGCTATCCCCATCTCTGCCCCTCCACCCGCTGTGCAACCCTCCACTAACCTTCCCAGATTCTGCTAACCATCCTTCTACTCTCTATGTTTATCAGTTCAATTATTTTAATTTTTTGATCCCAAAAATACATGAGAAAATGTGACGTTTTTCTTTGTGCCTGGCTTATTTCACTTAACATATTCAAGTTCCAGTAAGCTGTGTTTCTATTTTTGTTTATCTTAACATATTTTTATTTTTTTTTAAATAACATTTTACTTTCATTTTATTTTTTTTTTTTTCATTTATTTTTTTTTATTTTATTTTATTTTTTTTATTATACTCTAAGTTTTAGGGTACATGTGCACATTGTGCAGGTTAGTTACATATGTATACATGTGCCATGCTGGTGCGCTGCACCCACTAATGTGTCATCTAGCATTAGGTATATCTCCCAATACTATCCCTCCCCCCTCCCCCAACCCCACCACAGTCCCCAGAGTGTGATATTCCCCTTCCTGTGTCCATGTGATCTCATTGTTCAATTCCCACCTATGAGTGAGAATATGCGGTGTTTGGTTTTTTGTTCTTGCGATAGTTTACTGAGAATGATGGTTTCCAATTTCATCCATGTCCCTACAAAGGATATGAACTCATCATTTTTTATGGCTGCATAGTATTCCATGGTGTATATGTGCCACATTTTCTTAATCCAGTCTATCATTGTTGGACATTTGGGTTGGTTCCAAGTCTTTGCTATTGTGAATAGTGCCGCAATAAACATACGTGTGCATGTGTCTTTATAGCAGCATGATTTATACTCATTTGGGTATATACCCAGTAATGGGATGGCTGGGTCAAATGGTATTTCTAGTTCTAGATCCCTGAGGAATCGCCACACTGACTTCCACAATGGTTGAACTAGTTTACAGTCCCACCAACAGTGTAAAAGTGTTCCTATTTTTCCGCATCCTCTCCAGCACCTGTTGTTTCAACATATTTTTAATTTCCCCTTTAATTTCTTGATTGACATAATGGTTGTTCAAAAGCATATTGTTTAATTTTCAGGTAGTTGTGAATTTTCCAAAGTTCCTCTTTTTATTGATATCTAGTTTTGTGCCATTGTAGTCAGAAAATATATTCTATATGATTTTAATTCTCTTATGTTTGTTGAGACATGTTTTTCAGCCTAACGTGATCTATCTTGGGTAAGGTCTCCTGTGCACTTGAAAAGAATGTGTATTTTGCAGCTGTTGGATAGAATGTTCTCTGTATTTCTGTTTGGTCCATTTGGTATAAAGTGTAATTTAAGTGCAATGTTTGCTCACTGATTTCCTGCTTGGCTGATCTGTCGATTGCTGCATGGTATTTTGAGGTCGCCGACTATTATTGTATTAAAATCTATTTCTCTATTTGTTTTATGTATTTAGGCACTCCAATGTTGGATGCATACAGTTGTCCTTTGGTATTCACGAAGAATTGGTTTCAGGATCCTCTGTGAATACCAAAATCTGCAGACACCTATGTCTACCATAAAAAAAAGATGAAGTATTTGCATATAATTTATGTAAATGTTCCCATACACTTTAAGTCATATCTAGATTATGTATAATAAGTAATACAATGTAAATGCTACATATATAGTTGTTATACTATATTTTATTTATATTATTTTGTTATTCTATTTATTTATTTATTTGATATTTTTGACCTGTAATTATTTAAATCTGTGGGCACAGAACCCATGGATACAAAGAACCAACTGAATATATTTGCAACTTTTATATCTTCTTGTTGAATTGGCCTTGTTATCATGATATAATGACCTTTGTCTCTTTTTACAGTTTTTGATTGGAAGGCTGTTCTATCTGATATAAATATAAGTGTTTCTGCTCTCTTTTGGGTTCCATTCACATAGAATGTCTTTTTGAATTTCTTTACTTGCAGTCTATGTGTGTCCTTACAGGTGAAGAGAATCTCTTCTAGCTGGTATGCACTCTTGACTTTTTTTTTATCCATTCAGTGCCTCTATGTTTTTGATTGGAGAATTTAATCTATATATACAAGGACTTACTACTTTCATTTTGTTAATTGTTTTTGGTTGTTTTGTATATCTTTTATTTCTTGATCTCTTACTGTCTTTCTTTGTTGATAAGTTATTTTCTTTAGTAACACGTTTTATTCTTTGCTTTTCATTTTTTGTGTTTCTGTTATAGGTTTTTTCTTTATGGTTACCGTGACCCTTACAAAAAATATTTTATAGTCATAAAAGATTATTTTAAGCTGATAGCAATTTAACTTTGAATGTGAGGAAAAAAACAAAACTCTACACTTTTACTCAACTTTCCCCCACATATTTTTAACTTTTATTTTAGATTCAGGGGGCACCTGTGGAGGTTTGCTACATAGGTAAATTGTGTGTTATGGTGGTTTGGTATACAGACTATTTAATGACCCAGATATCAGCATAGTATCCAATAGATAGTTTTTCAATCCTCACCCACCTCCCACTCTCCACCCTTAAGTAGACTACAGTGCCTGTTGTTCCCTTCTTTGTGTCCATATATCTCCAATATTTAGCTTCCAATTATGTTAGAACATACAGTATTTGGTTTTCCGTTGCTGTATTAGTTTGCTTAAAATAATGGCTTCAATTCCATCCATGTTGTTAAAAAGAACATAATCTTCTTCTTTTTATGGCTGCAGAGTATTCCATGGTGAATATGTACCATATTTTCTTTATGCAGGCTACATTCATGGGCATTTAGAAGGAGTCCATGTCTTTGCCATTGTGAATAGTGCTGCCATAAACATAGGCGTGCATGTGACTTTATGGTAGAACGACTTATATTCCTTTGGGTATATACCCATAGTAGGATTGCCGGGTTGAATGATAATTCTGTTTTAAGTTCTTTGAGAAGTTGCCAAACTGCTTTCCACAGTGGCTGAACTAATTGAGATTCCTAGCAGCATTGTATAAATGTTCCCTTTTCTCCATGGCCCCAGAAGCATTGGTTATTTATTGACTTTTGAATAATAGCCATTCTGACTGGTATGAAATAATACCTCATTGTAATTTTGATTTGCATTTTTGTAGTGATTAAGTTGAGCATTTATTTATATGCTAGTTGGCCACGTGTATATCTTAGTTTTAAAAATGTCTGTTTATATATTTTGCCCGCTTTTTATTGGGGTTGTTTGGTTTTTGCTTGTTGATTTGTTTAAGTTCCTTGTATAGATTCTGGATATTAGACATTTGTCAGATGCAGAGTTTGCAAATGTTTTCTCTCATTTTGTAGGCTGTTTACTCTTGATAGTTTCATTTGTTGTGCAGAAGCTCTTTAATTAGATTCCATTTGTCCGTTTTTGTTTTGGTTGCAGTTGTTTTTGGCATCTTCATTATGAAATCTTTGTCAGGGCCTATGTCTAGAATGGTATTTCCTAGGTTATCTTCCAGAGATTTTATAGTTTTAGGTTGTGCATTTACATCTTTAATCCATCTAGAGTTGATTTTTGTATGTGGTATAAGGAAGGGGTTCAGTTTAATCTTCTGTGTATGGTTACTACCATTTATTGAATAGGGAGTCCTTTCCCCATTGCTTGTTTTTGTTGATCTTGTTGAAGATGAGACGATTGTAGGTGTGCAGCATTATTTCTAGGTTCCATTCTGTTACATTTATCTAGTGTCTACTTTGTAGAAGTATCATGCTGTTTTTGGTATTGTCTTGTAGTATAGTTTGTAGTTGGATAATGTGATGTCTCCAACTTTGTTCTTTTTGCATAGGATTGCCTTGGCTACTAGGGCTCTTTTTGGGTTCCATATGAATTTTAGACTAGTTTCTTTCCAATTATGTAAAGAATGTCATTGGTATTTTGATAAGAATAGCATTGACTCTATTTTTGCCTTGGGCCATACGGCCATTTTAATAATATTGATTCTTCCTTTTTGGATGCCTTTTGTTTCTTTCTGTTGCTTAATTGCTCTGGCTAGGACTTCCAGGACTATGTTGAATAGGAGTAGTGAGAGAGGGCAGCCTTGTCTTATGATTTTTCAAGAGAAAGCTTTCCAGCTTTCACCCATTCAGTATGATGTTGGCTGTGAGTTTTGCATAGATGGCTCTTATTACTTTGAAGTATGTTCCTTCACTGACTACTTAGTTGAGGATTTTTGACATGAAGTGATATTGAATTTTATCTAAAGCCTTTTATGCATTTACTGAGATGATTATGTGGTTTTGTTTTTACTTCTGTTTATGTGATGAATCACATTTATTGATTTGTGTATGTTGATCAAATATGCATCCCAAGGATAAAGCCTACTTGAACATAGTAGACTAGCTTTTTGATGTGCTGCTGGATTTTGTTTGCTAGTATTTTGCTGGGGATTTTTTCCACCAATGTTCATCAAGGATATTGGCCTGAAGTTTTTCATGTTGTTGTTATGTCTCTGCCAGTTTTGGGTATTAGGATGATACTGGCCTCACAGAATGAGTTAGGTAGGTGTCACTCCTCTTCATTTTGTGGAATAGTTTCAATGGGAATGGTACCAGGTCTTCATTGTACATTTGGCAGAATTTGGCTGTGAATCTATCTGGTCCTGGAATTTTATTGTTAGGTAGACTTTTCATTACTGGTTCAATTTTAGAACTCATTATTAGTCTGTTCAAGGATTCAGTTTCTTCCTGGATCAATCTTAGGAAGTTGTATGTTTCCAGGATTTTATCAACTCCTAGGTTTTCTAGATTGTGTGCAAAGAGGTGTTCATAGTAGTCTTTGAAAGTTTCATTGTATTTCTGTGGGGTCAATGGTAATGACTCCTTTGTCATTTCTGATTATGTTTATTAGGACTTGCTCTCCTTTTTTAAATTGATCTAGCTAACGGTCTATCTATCCTATTAGTTCTTTCCAACAAAAAAAAATCCTGCATTTGTTGATCTTTTGTATGGTTTTTGTGTCTCTATTTCATTCAGTTCAGCTTTGATTTTCATTATTTTTTGTCTTCTGCTAGCCTTGGGGTTGATTTGCTCTTCTTTCTCTAGTTCCTATAGTTGTGATGTTAGACTGTTAAATGGAGATCTTTCTAACTTTTTGATGTGGGTGATTATTGCAATAAACTTCCCTCTCAGCGTTCCTTTATCTGTGTTCCAGAGATTCTGGTATGTTTTATTCTTGTTCTCATTAGTTTCACAGAATTTGTGGATTTACGTCATTATTTTCCCAGAAATCATATAGGAGTAGGTTGTTTAATTTTCATGTAATTTTATGGTTTTGAGCACTTTTCTTGGCATTGATTTTTATTTTTATTGCACTGTGGTCCAAGAGTGTGGTTGATATAATCCCTTTTTAATTTAATTGTTGGGGATTGTTTTATGCCTGACTATGTGGTTGATTTTAAAGCATGTACAATATGAAGGTGAGAAGAATGTATATTCTGTTGTTTTTGGTGGAAAGTTCTGTAGATTTACATTAGGCCCATTTTGTCAGGCGTCAAGATCTGGTTCTGAATATCTTTGTTAGTTTTCTGCCTCAATAATTTTTTTTAATACTATAAGTGGAGTGTTGAAATTGCCCACTGTTTTGGGGTTTTCTAAGTCCCTTCATAGGTCTCTAAGGACTGGCAGTATGCATCTGGCAGTATTTATATTTAGAATAGCTAGGTCTTCTTGTTGAATTGAGTCCTTAACCATTACGCAATGCCTATGTTTTTTAACTTTTGTTGGTTTAAAGTTCATTTGTGTTTTTTAATTTTTTTCCCTCAGAGTAGAGTAACAACAATTGCTTTTCTTTTCTGTTTTTGTTTGCTTGGTAGATTTTTCTTCATCACCTTACTTTGAGCTTCTATGTGTAATTACATATGTGATGAGTCTCTTGAAGACAGCATACAGTTGTCTTGCTTCTTTATCCACTTGGCACTCTGTGCCTTTTAATTGGGGCATTTAACTCATTTACATTCAAGGTTAGTATTGATATGGGTAAATTTGATCCTTTTATCTTGTTAGCTGGTTATTATGCAGACTTTTTTTGTGTGGTTGCTTCATAGTGTCACTGGTTCCTGTACTTAAGAGTGTTTTTGTAGTGGCTAGTAATGATCTTTCCTTCCTATATTTAACACTTTCTTCAAGACCTTTTGTAAGGCAGGTCTAGTGGTAACAAATTTCCTTAGCATTTGCTTGTCTGAAAAGGATCTTATTTCTCCTTTGCTTATGAAGCTTTGTTTGACAGGACATAAGTTTCTTGGTTAAAAATTCTTTCCTTTAAGAATGCTAAATATAGGCACCCAACATCTTCTGGCTTGTAAGGTTTCTGATGAAAGATCTAGAGTTAGCCCGATGGGGTTGCTTGCTTTCTCTCCCTCTTGATGCCATCTTGATCTCTTTACATAATCCCATATTTATTTCAGGTATTATTCATTCTTCTTTATTTTCTTCTTTATTTTATTTATTTATTTATTTATTTATTTATTTATTTATTTATTTATCTGGCTGAGTTATTTCAAAGATCCAGTCTTCAAGTTCAAGCTTTGGGATTTTTCCTCACCTTTGTTGATTCTGCTGTTAATACTTGCAGTTTACATTCTGAACTTCTTGAAGTGAGTTTTTCAGCTCTTTCAGATCACTTTGCTTCTTTATTAAAATGGGCATTTCACCTCTCATCTTCTGTATGCTTTTATTGTATTTTTTAGATGTCTTGGATGGGGATTGGACTTTCTCCTGAATCTAGATGATTTTCATTTTTATCTATATTCTGAATTCTATTTCTGTCATTTTAGCCTGTTTAAGAACCACTATTATGGAACTATTGTGGCCAGTTGGAAGAAAAAACACTGGCCTTTTGAGTTGCCATAGTTCTTACACTGGTTCTTTCTCATTTTTGTGGGCTGATACTCCTTCAATTTTTGAAGTTTCTGTCCTTTGGATGTTTTCTTTTTTATCTTCTTTGATGTCTTTTGGGGTTTGATTGTGGTATAGGGTGGTTTCAGTCAACTGAATTTATTCCTGAAATATTTTAGGGGCTCAAGGCTCAACTCAAGACTCCTGAGTTGCGTGCTTTAACTCTGGGGGGCTGGTATTGGGCCCTGAGCTTTGTTCTCTTGCCTCTTGAGGTTATGAATTTACTGCCCTGCAGGGACCAAAGTGTTCCTGGACTGCTTATAATAACACTCCAATAAGTGGTGCCAGCCAAAGTGCTTTGCTGGGCAGTAGCAGTAGGATCCATGCTTGTTCACATGTGCCAGCAGGAGCAGCAGCACAGTGGGGTGCATACTCGTTGGCTGAGGTGAGGTTCTGGTTGGCACAGATGTGCCAGTCTCCATGTGCATGTTTGCAGTGTTGGTGGTCATAGCATAGCATGTGCTGGGGGTGAGACCATTGGTGACTGTGGGCACATTCATGTCAGTGACACTGTTGGTGCAGGGGCAGGGCACTGGCAGGAACAGGGTTGGCACTTTCTGTGCATTCCTTTGTGATAGTGGCATTGGTAGTGCTGTGTGGGGGTGGGGCTGCCAGTCTTTGTGTGCAGGTTTGGTCTGGCTACAGTGTCAGCATGGGAGTGAGATGCAGGTGGGCATGGATCTTGTGGGCTCCATGCCATGAAGCATTGGTTGCAATGGCAGTGCAGGGTGGGGCTGCTTGTCTCCTTCTCTGTGTTTGCATTGGCAATGGTGGCACAGTTGGGGGGGGGGGTGTTCTTACAGCAGTAGTTGCGCATTGGGATGCAGACATACATATACACTGGCAGGGAAGGGGAGGTAAGTTTTTTCCATGTGCACACATGCTGGCATAGCAATGTTGGGGTGGCCATGGGAAAGTGCATGCTGGCAAAGTGGCATGGGGGTGCTGTGGTATGGAAAGGTGGGCTAGTGTGTGTCAATGTGAGCTGCTCTGCTGGAGCTCTCTGACAGTCAGGCATGGTCTGCCAGCACAGGAGCTATGATGCAAGCCCCTGGAAGACACTCTGGCTAGCCATACAATGCTGCACTACAAGCAGATATTGCCAGGGTAGGGCACCAGGAAAGGCCAACACACAGGAGCATTCTCAGATAAGACTGACCCTGTCTCATGGGCAAGATCACCCTGCTCTGTTCATGCCCAGTAGTTTCCCTAAGGCTAAGGTCTCCTAGAGGAGCAAGGTGAAACTTGGGGGATTGGTGCCCCTGGCCATGCTCCACTATAGATACTTCCACATCAAACTCTAGGGGCTCTGCACCAGCTGGAGTTCTCGTCCCCGAGAGGTTGAATTTTTGATGTCAACATTAACATCGTTTTATATTTCATATTGTTTTATAAATAGAGTTATTATTTTTAATAGCTTTGCTTTTTAACTTTCATACTAAAGGTATGAATGATTTACCTACTGCCATTACGGTATTGGCATATTCTAATTTTGACTGTATTTACTTTTACCGTGAGTTTTCTACTTCCAAATGTTTTTGTGTTACTCATCAGCATCCTTTTCTTTTAGCTTGAATAACTCCTTTTATTATCTCTTATAATACAGGGCTGCTGGTGATAAATTTATTCAGCTTTGTTTGCCTGGGAAAGTATCTTTCCCTCATTTCTGAAGAACAGTTTTACTGGGCACAGTATTCTTTGCTGACAGATTTTTGCTTATTTTTTCTTCAGCTCTTTGAATACATCATCCCACTCCTCCTAACCTATAAAAAGAAAGTCTGCTGCCAGATATATTGGAACTTCCTTATTTGCTTATTTTTATCTTGGTGCTTTTATGATTCTTTGTTTTTGATCTTTGATAGTTGCATAATAATATGTCTTCCTGTACTCTTAATTGTATCAAATCTGATGTTCACCTTTGATCTTCCTTTACTGGAATATGTATGCCTTTCTTTAGGGCTGAAAAGTTTCTTACTATAAGCTTTCTACCCCTTTGTCTTTTTCTACTCCCTCTTAAACTTCAATGAATCAAAAATTTGCTCTTTTCATGCTGTCCTGTAAATCTTGCAGGATTTCTTCATTTTTTTCTTTTTCCCCATGACTGTATATTTTCATATCACCTATCTTTGAGTTTACAGATTCATTTTTCTGCTTGATCAATTCTGCTGATGATGATCTCTATTAAATTTCTTACTTCATTCATTATATTTTTTAGTTTTAAGATTTGTTTTATTTCACTTTTAATTTTTATTTTATTCTGTCTATTAAATTCTTTATTCTGTTCCTTTATGGTTTTCCTCATTTTTTTGTATTATTTCTCTTTGTTTTCTTAAAGTTTTCTGAACTTCCTTAAATGGCTATTTTGACATTTTGGGGGGCAGTTCATACATCTCCATCACCTTAGGGTTGGCCACTGACAATTTGTGTTGTTTATTTGATGACATCATATTTCTCTGATTGTTTCTGATCCTTGTGCTTATTCATTGATGTCTGCACATTGAAAAAATTCCAGTCTTTGCTGTCTAGATTTATCTAAAAATATTCTTCAACATTAAGTCTGTCCAGAGATACTGAGCTGGTCAGCTAATGTGATCACTAAGCCTGTAACAACTGCAGCAGTTGCAATGCTAGAGATGAATTAAGCATAAGATTTCCATGGTTAGTGCAGTGTTAGGCTGTAATCCTGTGGACATCAAGGCTGGTGCTGTGCTGGGGTGCATCCGAAGTCCACAGCCACTGAGGCTAGTGCAATAATGGGGCACACATGAAGTCAGTAGCATCCGAGGGCTGCCTCCTGTAAAGTTTTTCCGGAAGTCAAGCCTTCTGTAGTCAGCCAGCAGTGATTTGAGCCAGAGACCAAATTTGTTTTAAGGGGGCTACAGGTTCTTGCCTGGCACTGGGGCAGATCAGGAGGCTCAGTCCACAGTACTGGCATGGATTGAGGGGATTTAGGGTTTTTCCTGGTACTGGGTTTTAGTATGATGGCCTCAGTATACCAAGACAAAGTCCTATGCTCACTTTCTTCTCTTTTTTCCAATAAGACAGTATATTTTTCACATTATGCTTCCTGAAGTTGAGAGAGGAGTGATGTGGATAAGGTAATCCATTTTTTCTCCCCTATTCAATGCATCTTTTCTTATTATTATGCCGAAACAATGCCTATGATCTTCCCCCTCACTTCCTTAGCTCTTCTGAAGATACTTTTGCATGTGGATAACTGTTCAAATTTATGTTACTGTAGAAGAACAATCATGGGATTGTCCTATTTTTCCATTTGCTCTGCCCTCTTACCAATGAAAAATAGATTAAAAATGCCTGACTAGAGATTAAAGTTCCTATTACTTTCCATATAACTTAAAATAGGCCTATGCCAAGATATATGCTAGCGTTCACCAATTTTAACTTTTTATTTAAACATCTTCCTCTATGTTTTCAAAAGTATTTTTCTACTTATTTGCTAGACTTCTTTGCTTTCTCAAAGCTTAGATCATTTACACTTCTGATATGTTGTCTTTATTTTCCTGATTCTGAGAAGCCTCCTGTGCGCCTACTTTAACATTAGGCCCAGGAATTTTAGTAAAAGTTACTTTTATACTTTTCTTTTGCTAATTGTGTGGACTTTGGTAACATTTAATGAGACAGAGGTGATAGAAAAAGAAATAGGATTTGGGAGAGCTCTATATTTTATGCAGAGGTTCTAGAGTATTTTATGACCTATTACCACAAAATTAGTTATTTGATTGCACAGGTTTATACCTCCATAGAGGTATCTCCACTTGGGAGTTAGATTCAAGAATTATCAGCAGAACTGAAGATATAGAGGTTGAGGGGAGGAATGTACCATGAAAAAAAGGGACTGAGGATGGCCACAGGAAACACTCCCAGTGAAAAACTGGCAAAGGAAGAGTTTGCAAAAAGACAAGACAGATTATAGGCAGAAAACCAAGATGCCTACAGAAGACATATACATAATTAAATACTATTCAACCATAGAAAAGCAGGAAATTCTGTTATTTGTAATGGCTTGAATTAACCTGGAGGATATTTTGTTAAATGAAAAAAGTCATAAACAGACAATACTGCATTATCTCACTCATATGTGAAATCTAAAAATGTTGAACTCATAGAAGCAGAGAGTACAATGGTGGTAAACGGGCTAGGATGGCTGGAGTGGGGAAATACTGGGGAGATGATGATCAAAGGATACAACATTTTAGTTAAATATAAGGAATAAGTTGAAAAAGTATATTGCACAGCATGGTGACTGTAAGTCATAATGTGTTACTGAAAAATGTTAAAACAATGGTTGTAAAGGGTCCTCATCACATGAAAGAATAACTGTGTGAGGTAATTCATATGTTAATAACTATAATTAGTCATTCTGCAATGAATAAATCCTCAAAACATCATGTATATGGAAAACACATACAATGTTATCCATCAGTATAAAAAGAAAGAGAAGAATGAAGGTAGGAAGAAAAAGAAAATAAGGAGGGAAGGAAGGAATAAATGATGGGTATTGGGCATTTCTGAATAAAGAAAATGTCTCAAAATCAAATTCTGTTCATGAATCAAAATATGTGTTTTGTAAGAGGGATGTCTTTGGGAACCATACGTTTGCTTTAATCATACTGATTTAACAGTCTGTTTCAAGTGATGTGATAGAGTGCAAATAAAATTAATGGCTGTAGATGTTTGACCAAGATGAAGAAATAGAAAATATAAGCAACATCGAAGCTTCTATTATGCATATTTCTTATTATACAGCCATTTTAATTAAAATTACAACAAACCTGGTACTTTAAATTCTGTACCAAAACTGAGTTAATAATTCCTTAATCCCTCAAGTGCTTGCTATATATTAAACTCTTAGTAAAAAGCTGTTAAATAAATTAATAGATTTTTGACGTAACAAATTATTTGCCAACATATATTAGCACCTGGCGTATTACCTAGAAAATAATAAATGCTTGATAATATTTGTTGAATTAATTCATGTTAGAAATCAGTATTAGCAAGAGGTCTCCAGAGGGACAGAACCAATAAGTTATATGTATATATATTAAAGGTATTTTATTAGAATTGGCTCACAAGATTACAAGGTAAAGTCCCACAATAGACTATCTGCAAGCTGGGGAAGGAGAGAAACCCATAGTGCCTAAGTCCAAGTCCAAAAGCCTCAAAATCAAGTAAGCTAACAGTGCAGCCCTTTGTCTGCTGCCAAAGGCCCAAGAACCCGCAAGAAGTCACTGGTGCAAGTCCCAGAGTCCAAAGATCGAAGAGCCTGGAATCTGATGTCTAAGGGCAAGAGGAGTGGAAGCAAGCATCTGGCATGGAAAGAAGAAAGAGAGCCAGAATACTCACCAAGTAAATGTATCTCACCTTCTTCCACTTGCCTTGTTCTAGCTGCACTGGCGGCCGATTAGATGGTGCCCACCTACATTGAGGGTGGGTCTTCCTCTCCCAGTCTGCCAACTCAACTATCAATCTCAGGCAATGCCCTCATAGACTCACACAGAAGCAATACTTTACCAGCCATCTAGGTATCCCTCAATTCAATCAAGTTGACACCTAATATTATTCATCACAACATATGTGTAATGGATTTACTTTAGCCATCATCTCTAAAGCCATAGTGTGCAACTATGGGGTAATCAATTATTTGTATCTCATCCAAAGATATTTCCATTTCCCTGGTTCATTTTATGTTCGTCATTTGTAAATCTGACATTCTCTTTAGGGTGTAAATTTTTAATAATGAGCATTGCAAATGGAATTCTACACATTTGCTTAGATGTCATGGAATAGCTGAAGAGAGCTTGGGCTTTTAATAGGCAGACTTGCTCCCAAGAGGGTGAAGAGTAAGACAAAAGATGTTTGTGCCTAGTTGTTTCCCTGTGCTTACAAATCAAATGAATCATTCTATTTCCTTAGGGGCAAATTAAATGAAAAAAAAAAAAAAAAAAAACAGAGAAAGGCCTATTGGTATTTTGTGGAAGTTCTGTATTATGGCCTTTGGTTGCCATGATTAGAGGAAGTATCATTCTATAATTTTAAGGAATTTTTAAAATCTTAAATAATGAAACAGGAAAGGAAACTGATTCTCTCTTGAAAGCTCCAGAAGGAGTGCAGCACTTCTGGCACCTAGACTTTAGACTTCTGACCTAAACTCACATTGCTTCAAGCCTCTGAATTTATTCAGAGCAATAGGGAACTAATATAATATTCCATTTTGATTTTATAAATCACTGGGTCTGAATCTAAAATATTTTCATAATTGGCAAATCCTGTAACGTGCATGTAATTTTAATCCTGTTGTGTTATTAGGGTCAACAGAGACATTTGTTGTAGTCTCTCTGTAACAGATGCCTACCCTCCTCATTCTTGAGCAGATTCTTTATTTTTAAGAGGCTGTAATGAAACGAAATTATGATGTAAGTTTATTATGTATATTCTCAGTGATAACACTTAACTATAATTTATTAAATAGAACTGATTATGTCTCCAAAAAGAAATTTTAGACTGTCAGAGTATATTTCTTATGGAAGAATAAAAGCATTAGTTTTTGATCCAAAACATAATATTACTTCATTTGACTTTGATCAAATGTCAAGAAAGTTATAATATATCTACTTTAATCAGCTTATTTGTTTAACATTTGTTAGACAACTTATTGAAACGGGTTTATTGCTTTGACTAAATTCCTCATATGGTTTGGCTTTGAGTCCAAATCTCATGTCAAATTGTAATCCCCACGTCAGGAGAGGGACCAGGTGGGAGGTAATTGGATCATGGGAGTGGGTTCTCCCTATGCTGTTCTCATGATAGTGAGTGAATTATCACAAGACATGATGGTTTAAGACGTGTAGTACTTCCGCCTTTGCTCTCTCTCCTGATGCCTTGTGAAGAAGGTGTTTGCTGCTTCTTCACCTTCTGCTATGATTGTGTTTCCTGAGGCCTCCCCAACCATGCAGAACTCTGAGTCAACTAAACCTCTTTTCTTTATAAATTACCCAGTCTCAGGTAGTACTTTATAGCAGTGTGAAAACAGACTAATACAATTCCCACTTTATTAAAACAATACACAGAATTGATTTTAAACCTGAGTGAATAATTTAAATAATTATATTTGCATTTTATAGATTTAGTCTTAATATTTTATTTTTTTGAATAGTCCAAATGTTTTAATAATCTCAATTAAAATAAATGTATTAAATTTCCCAGAGCTGGTTTGATTAAGGAAAATAGAAGTCAATTATAGAGGATATGAGAAAAAGTAAAGTATTTCAGTTATAAAAGGCAGAACTCAACAATAGTCATGTAATGCTTACATTTCAGGAACTGATTAAATGAACAATAAGATAGGAATGTAGAAGGCAGAAAGTTTGAACAATTAACAAGCTAAATCCAAAAAAACCTGTACCCAAAACAGGCAAAGCACCCCTCTACCCACCCAAAACTCATAGAATATTTACAAATATTGACCATATAATTCCATAAAATAGAAACCATACAGGCTATATTATATCTCCTTAGAAATTTTAAATACACTTGGAATCTGAAATACCCGTTAAAAATAAACAATAGTCACCATAGCTAAAGACTGTCAGACATACTGCCAAGGGAGTACTCAGAAGTATTTTCAGTCCTAAATACATTGATTATCAGGAAACAAGAAAAACGGAAAATAAAACTGTTTATATAATATACCTTAAGGCAGTGTGGGGATCAACAACATCCCTGGAGATATGGTCATCAATGAAAGTAGTCCAGGAGTCCGTGAATTCATTTATTAACCATAAGCCTATAAAATGTGTATGCTAACTAGTAATAAAAGTACAAACTGTGTTATATTTTAGAATATCAACTCAGTTGTAACACTAGTTACTTCATCCTGAGTTGGTTGGGAATCACATCTTTGAATATATCAAAATTAAACTGAGTTCCTTGAAGTCAGACATGGCCTTATTTATTTGTATACCTTTAATATAGGCACAATAGAGGTACACAGAGTAAGCACTCAACAGTGTTATATGAATTGAATTAGTTAATGTATGAGGCAGATAATTTCCCAAAATATGGGGCTCACTGGAGGAGTAGGGTGAAACAGAATAAACAGATCTGTATGGTGGGTACAAGGCTGGAAAACACTGGCTAAACATGAATCTTCATCTCAGGTCTGTGACGTCACTAGGGTCACATGCCAGGTGTTCCAAGATTCTGGAGAGGATTTTACCAACATGGAGGAGCTCTCAGCTTTCTTACCTTTCTTCCTTGACAGCAAGATTCATGAACTTCAATAATCACAATGTTAAGAAAAGTTAATCTTCAACTATAACAGACTAATTTTTTAAAAATTTAGTCCCTTTTAGCTGTATGTCAAAAGGGCAGACCAATAGCTACAGCTAGTACAATGACTAGAACACAAGCTCAAATTCCCTGGTATTATAGGAGACAAGAAGATCTCAGTAGCTTTCATTTTCTTTACAATTTTTAAAAAGCTTCAATTAAGTACTTCAATTATATCTAAACATAAAACAGAGGCCCCATCTGTATTAATATTTTAAACATTCAATATTTGAGCTATGTAACTCGTGCTAGTAGGTGAATATAAACATGTCTTAAATAAGGAATATTTACATTTCGAAACCTTCTGATTGTATTAATTTGATCTGGTTTATTTTTAAAATATTCCCCCCTGCTACAGAACATCTTCCTTTTCTGCATTAAAAACAAAATGGCTGTATTTCTCTGCCCAACTTTGCTTAGCTGAATCAATCCTTTTAAAAGCTTTCTTTACTGCTAAACCTATCTTCAATTCTTAACTGACACAACATCAGTCATTTTTACATGAGAACAATACATTAAAATAAATACAAAGAAAAAATTCTCCCAGCAAATACTAGATTCAATCCCAACAATACAGACACAGTCTTAAAAAATCAGTTATGTATTTATTTGCATAGAACCAAAGGAAAGACTTAAAATTCCAACATACATCCTACGAGGCTTACAATTTAATTACAAATCCAGTTTTGAGGGAAAAAAGGGTTTTGGTTTTCCTCTACTAATGAGGATGATACTGTTTCACATGCTTCAGTTATGTATGCTGAAACACCAGACGCCTATACATCTTTACTTTTCGCAGAATTAGTATCCAGTCCAAAAAAGTCTTCTTTGATGATGTACCGAACACACTGCAAAATCACATTTCTTTCATGTCGAATGTCCGGAGCTAGAAGCATTTCCAAGAGATATAGATGGTGTGTTCTTGGTTCGAATAACGTTTGATAGTTGTGATAATCTTTTTTCCTCTTAGGGTTTGTCTTTTCAAAACTTTTCTTTCGGTTCTCACTCTTGGCTTCTGAAAAATTTCTAACAGTTGCTTTAACATCTTGACTTGGACTCTTAGAAGCACTGCTATCAAGAACCTGGTTTTCTGCCAAAACGTCTGCTTCAGTCTTGATGGGAGTTTCTTCTGGCTCACTCTCTGACCCCGAAAGACTGCCATAGCTACTCATTAGTGAGCATAGGGCTGGTGTCACTTCCTTGGGTATCACAGAATGTTGTGCCTCCTTATCAGACTCAGAATCACTGTTTATCAAAACACCAAGAGGATCTGCATTTGCCTCAGGTGGACCTTCTGGCTTCAAATCACACAAGTGATTGCCTGATCCAGTGACTGCTCTCTGTCTATAATTGTTTTTTCATTTCTGATTCTCGCCAGGACTTCTGATATTTGCCATTTGTGAATGTCTGGACATCCCCTTCATCTTGCCATATTGTGTTGTTGTCAGTACTGCTCATCTCTTCTCCTTTTCAAGTTTTAACTTCTTCTTCCTTTCAATATTGGCCAGAGTTGGCTAGTTTTTCCTTCTTTCTCCCCTCCACCGTGCAATTTCCTCTGGAGTGTCTAACTTGATCTTCTTCATGCCAGGAGCATGCATATTTCTCCAATGGAACTGGACAATCTTCTTGTGTGCAGTAAAAGAGCAATCTACTTCAGGGCATTTTGTATGTTCAGACATGTGTTTGTCATACTTTTCTCGATTTTTAAAACCACGATCACAGGTATCACAAAAAAAGTGAAAAACTGGTTCCTTTCTTTTCTTTTTTTTCTGTTTTCTACTGGGAGGTAAGCTGAAGTCTGTGAATTTTGCATCATACTTTCGTGGATAATAAGAATTTTTAACTGAAGGGTTGAAGGACTTCTGATGCCGAGGAAACCTATCAGAAGACTGTCTCCAATACCACGATGTGGAAGCATGGAAATTCCAAGGCTGGCCGCTGGGTTGAGGCTGAGAATCAAGGGGGGACTGTGCGTGGAAGGGGGGTTGCGCCCCGGGAAGAAGCTGGGCGTCAAAGAGGGGCGGAGCCCTGGGGAGAGACTGGGCCTCTATGGGGGGCTGCGACTCAGAGGAAGGCTTTGACCCGGCTGCGGGAAGCGAGGACGTAAGCGGTGGTGGCGGTGGCGGCAGAATTGCCCAGAACATCCAGCTGTCCCGCGGCGGGGCAGTGTCGGTCAGGGGCCCTAACGTGGGAGTCAGCCCGGGAGATGCAGGCCACCCGATAGGAGTCGCGAAATCACTAGTCGGCTCAGCCATACCACCGGCCGGGTCCGGAGTCTAGCACGCAACTGTCTAGTCTTAATATTTTAGAAAGGATAACTTATCAAAATGAAATCTGGATAATTTATAAGCTCAAATAAATATATTCAAGAGGTTCAGTTATTGATGAGTTGTTTATATTGTTTTAAATACCTCAAATATTTTCGTAAAATACGTGTGTATACACTGAAATAAGTAGATACTAATCTTATCCATTTATTCAACTTTTATTTGCTGAGCACATCATCTGCCCCAGGCACTACTATTCTAATTGATATAAATAAGCATTTCCTGGGAATGGTACATTTCCTGGGAATGGTACATGTTTTCTCTCAACTCACAGTATAGAAAGGGAGACGTGCATATATCACAAAGTATTGAATGCTACTTGAAATTTCATCATCAACATTGTATGATAAGAATGACAATATTGAGTTACTAATATTAGTACTTACCAATTATAAATGTGCTCCTACCAGATATTAGCATCTTATGTCACTCATTCTTTGCTAAATAAATGCATTATCTCATTAAACCTTTTTAATAATCTTGTCAAAGTAGTATGATTTATTCCATTTTGTAGATGAACAAAATTAGACTCATAAAAGTGACATTACTAGGAAATGTTTACACACCTAAAAAGGAATAACAATGGGGTTTGGAGGCAAAACATGAGCTTTCAAAGCCCTAACTTTCAGCTTCAATAACATGTAGCCTCAAATTACAGTTGATCTACAAAGATCAAACTACAGTTGATCTTTTTTGCTGAGAGTATCAAAAAAGAATAAACAATTCTGACTAACGGTATATTTGGGTCTTCTATAATGGAATAGATGGTTTGGAATTTATAATTCAGGCAATGAGAAGTCATTGGAATATTTCAAATAAGAATCAGACCTAATTGAACATTTTAATTAAATAAAGATTATCTTATATACTACCATGTCACATTGTATTTTGTCATATTATGTCATATCAGAAGGCATTAGAGAAATAATTCATAAAACAGAGGGAAAGGAAGGACAGAGAAGCATGTTGACAGTGACAGCTGATGGAGAGAATAGCAATAGGCATATTGCTAGCACAAAGTCACAGCCAAAGAATAATGGAGTTACTCTCTTAAGTATGGTACATATACCCAATTTCTTTTTCTTTTTTTTTTTTAAGATTTTATAATTGAAGTTCATCTTAATACTTTTTTTTTTTTGCTAGAAACTGGTTAATCTCTTTTATTTTATTTTATTTTATTTTTTTATTGATCATTCTTAGGTGTTTCTCGCAGAGGGGGATTTGGCAGAGTCATAGGACAATAGTGGAGGGAGGGTCAGCAGATAAACAAGTGAACACAGGTCTCTGGTTTTCCTAGGCAGAGGACCCTGCGGCCTTCCGCAGTGTTTGTGTCCCTGGGTACTTGAGATTAGGCAGTGGTGATGACTCAAGGAGCATGCTGCCTTAAAGCATCTGTTTAACAAAGCACATCTTGCACCGCCCTTAATCCATTTAACCCTGAGTGGACACAGCACATGTTTCAGAGAGCACCAGGTTGGGGGTAAGGTCATAGATCAACAGCATCCCAAGGCAGAAGAATTTTTCTTAGTACAGAACAAAATGGAGTCTCCTATGGCTACTTCTTTCTACACAGACACAGCAACAATCTGATTTCTGTATCTTTTCCCCACATTTCCCCCTTTTCTATTTGACAAAACCGCCATCGTCATCATGGCCCATTCTCAATGAGCTGTTGGGCACACCTCCCAGATGGGATGGCCGCCAGGCAGAGGGGCTCCTCACTTCCCAGAAGGGGCGGCCTGGAAGAGGCGCCCCCCCAACCTCCCGGACGGGGCAGCGGCTGGGCGGAGGTGCCCCCCACCTCCCGGACGGGGGGGCTGGCCCCCACCTCCCTCCCGGACGGGGCGGCTGGCTGGGCGGGAGCTGCCCTCCACCTCCCGGATGGGGCGGCTGCCGGGCAGAGACGCTCCTCACTTCCCAGACGGTGAGGCTGCCGGGCGGAGGGGCTCCTCACTTCTCAGACGGGGTGGCTCCCAGGCAGAGGTGCTCCTCACATCCCAGATGGGCTGGTGGGGCAGAGGCACTCCCCACATCTCAGACGATGGGCGGCCAGGCAGAGACGCTCCTCACTTCCTAGAGGGCATGGCGGCCGGGAAGAGGCGCTGCTCACTTCCCAGACTGGGCAGCCGGGCAGAGGGGCTCCTCACATCCCAGACGATGGGCGGCCAGGCAGAGACGCTCCTCACTTCCCAGATGGGGTGGCGGCCGGGCAGAGGCTGCAATCTTGGCACTTTGGGAGGCCAAGGCAGGCGGCTGGGAGGTGGAGGTTGTAGCTAGCCGAGATCACGCCACTGCACTCCAGCCTGGGCAACATTGAGCACTGAGTGAACGAGACTCCTTCTGCAATCCCGGCACCTCGGGAGGCCGAGGCTGGCAGATTACTCGCGGTTAGGAGCTGGAGACCAGCCCAGCCAACACAGCGAAACCCCATCTCCACCAAAAAAATACGAAAACTAGTTAGGCGTGGCGGTGCGCGCCTGCAATCGCAGGCACTCGGCAGGCTGAGGCAGGAGAATCAGGCAGGGAGGCTGCAGTGAGCCGAGATGGCAGCAGTACAGCCCAGTTTCTGCTTGGCATCAGAGGGAGACCGTGGAAAGAGAGGGAGAGGGAGACCGTGAGGGAGACAGAGAAGAGGGAGAGGGAGAGGGAGAGGGAGAAGGAGAGGGAGAGGGAGAGGGCTATTTTTCTTGAAAGTTAAAATATGTGAAGACCTTCAACTTAACAACACAATATAATATATTGAATCATTTTAAGAAATATTCATTGAATGCTGTTTTGTGTACCAGGCAATAATTGCTGAGGAAAATCAGTAGAAAAAAGAAAAAACATCTTGTCCTCCAGGTATAATATTTCACGTATTGAAAATTTAAGTTAGTGTTAAAGAAAAAAAATGCAGTGCCACTTGCTAAAGCACCATATAGAAGACTTATTCAAGGTTGGTGATGAAGGCTACTGATACTGGTGTTGGGATCATTGCAATGGAATTTTGCTGTGGAATAAAGAGATTGACCTCAGCTCTAAATACAGCATGGGGCAGTGGAAATTCATAGCCAAGGAACAGAGAGGTGGTCAGCAGATGGAAAATTGCAGAGGAAGCCTCAATCATAAGGGAGATTCTAACCAAAATAACCTAACTGAACTCTTGCTGAAGACAGGCTGGAGTAATTCGATATCATCAGGGAGATTGTGAAGGATAAAGAACCTGATCGGATATTGAGGATAATCAGATATAAAGGGTGGAGTGTTCTTGCTAAACTGAGTTTGTTAGGATTCTTGCTAAAATTGGTCTTTACAAGGAAGTGCACAGATGGGACGAGGATAGGATTTAGGAGAATGACTAGAGTTTGGTCAAACAAAGAATCTTACTAGTTACTGAGAAGTACTTCCAGAATGGCATTTTAATGAACCCCAAGATTCTACTTCTTCCTTAAAAGCAATGAGAGTACTGGCAAAAATTATCAAAATCAACTTTCAGAACTCTGAATATTAACAATGGACTTACAACAATCTGAGGAGCATTTAACTGTGGAAACCTGATTTTTAGGGTTAGTGTTAATTGATCTAATTCAGATTTTGTTGAGTGTAAGCAGCCTTTCTCCTAGGGCATTTGGTGATAACAATCTGTGGCAATTATTTAATATCACAGCTGATTAGGGTGCGATAACAAAACAAAAGGCCAAACAAAAAACTAAACTGAAAATTGAGATGCCTGTATGAGATTTGAACAGTTGAGATCTATTCCTAGAAATCTGGAAGTTCATGTGCATGTGCAGGGCTAGGCACCTGCTCAGGAATGACAGACTAAATGACCTACAAAACACTGATCTTTCACCTCTAGCTGACTTAGAGTCTTTTCACAAGCAGAAAATGAACACTAAAGAAAAGTTAAAAATTACCTGCCAGAATGTTGAAGATATGCTACAAAATACATGCAACATCCCTAAGAAAAAAAAAAACGAAAATACGTTGTTTTAAGAAACTTAAGGAAACCTCTGTCCAATCATTAGTTGACAAGCTAACTGAGCAGATTTCAGTGGCCACATGTCACAAAGAATATAGACTTTACAGAATTTAGGAAAGTCACAATAATTATTGAATCATTCAATAAATATTTGTGTTAGGAAATTCATGAGTAACAACAGCAACAGAAACAACAACAAATAGCAACAACATCTTCTTGGGAAAGAATTTCAAGAATTGCCAAATTGCATTATATAAAGTGTCTAGTTTTTAACAAAAACACTCAAGGCATAAAAAAATAGGCATAATCCATCGGCAGTAAAATAAGTCATATAAACTGTCCCTGAGAAGCCCAGTTGTTGGACTTACTAAATAAAGACATTAAATCAGCAATAATAAGCTAATGTGTCCATACAATGGACATACATATGGAATGTATGTGTCCATACATATCCATACAATGGAATATTATCTGGCAATGAAAATGGAATGAAGTACTAATACGCATCACAACATGGAGAAACCTTAAAATCATTATAAATGAAAGAAGCTAGTCACCAAAAGCCACATATTTTATGATTCCATGTATATGAATTACCCAGAATAGGCAATTCACAGAGACTGAAAAACAGATTAGTGATTTGTAGTGCTCTGGGTAGATGGGAATGAGTAGCGACTGCTAATGCATGTTGGTTTTCTCTTGGGGGTGATGAAAGTACATTAAAATTAAATAGTGGTAATACACTTCAAAAGGGCGTATACACTTCAAAAGGGCATATATACTTCAAAAGGGCATATATTATTGCATGTTAATTTAATTATATTTCAATAATGCTGTTTTTTAGAAGTCACTATTATTAAAAGAACACTTCAGGATCATTTTGATGTACAGTTGTAACATGTTTAGGGGATACAGATTAAAAATCAATTACTACCTCATGCAATTGAGTGAAAATAAAAACACAAACTGTTTTTCCTCTCTTCCAACACCACAACAAACAACGCAGACTTCTGTGACCAAATGCGTGAAGACTTTTTTCCCACCAATAAATGAGCAATGATTTCTATTGCCAACACCAGTTGTGTGTCCTTCAATCCAACTCAATTCTGATGTTATCTACTGGGAGATAGCATCAAACCTGGAAGGTTGAGGAAGTCAGTTCCACAAGACTGCCCCCCCCAACTAACTTCTGATGCCAGTCACAAGGCCTAGGTGGTTTTATCTCCACTTCTGACCAATTGGCTCACTGGGAAATCCCACGACTCCTTCTGTAGGTTCAATTACTTTGAAAGAGCAGTTCACAGAACCCAGAGAAACTTTTAGTTACATTGAGCAGTTTATTTAAAAGGATAAAATGAAAAAGGATACAGACGAAGAGATGCATAGTGTGAGGTATACAGGAAAGGTTGTGGAGCTTCCATGCCCTCCCCAGGCATGCCTTCCTCCAGGAACCTGCACATGTTCAGCTATCCCAGAAGCTCCCTGAGCCCTGTCCTCTTGGGCCTTTTATGAAGAGTTCATTGGATAGCCATGATCAATTCATGGAAAATCATGTCAAAATGTGATTGGACAAAGGGGTATGTCTGATTTAATACTGACAGACTGATGGGGGACCCAGTGAGGCATGTCTGTTGATACTATTCTTGGTCTCTTCATGCAGCGTTCCTTCCTCTCAGGTATGGAGCAGGATGCCTTATGAAATGGGGGTCTTATGACCTTCAATCAGATAAGGTAGGTCAGGGAATTTCTTTACAGCCAGGTGCAAGACAAAAATGTTGGGGGAGACTCTTGCCTTGAGAAGTAAAGCAAAAACAAAAACAAAAACAAAAGTGAACAGGAATGCAGGAGAAGGTCAGAGAGAGAGAGAGAGAGAGAGACTGTTTTCTGAGGCATGCTTCTGAGGTCTAAAGTGTTCCAACATTATAAAAAGGCTATGGGAGTTATGATCCAGAAACTGTAGATGGAAACCAATATGTATATAATATCACAACAATGCATGATTTTATACAGTGTTCAGTTTAATATCATATTATGTTCAATTTGGGTAACAAAGGTAAATGATATGTGGAAATTTCAATCCCCATCAATATTAACTATTCCATCCCTCTATGATATGACCTTGGTTTCCTGGTGGGTGAATTACAAATTAGTCAACATATATAAATATCCTTAAATTCTTGAAGATTGCTTGGGTTCAAATAAGACATTAATAGCCTGACTTCATGTCTTAGTTCCTTTCAGCTGCTGTAACAAAATATGATAAACTTGTTAGCTTATTAATAACAGATATTTATTTCTCATAGTTCTGGATACTGGGAGGTCCAAGATCAAGGCACCAGCAGATTTGCTATCTAGTGAGGACTCACATTGTTGTTCATAGAGGGAGTCTCCTAGCTGTACCCTCACATGGTGGCAGGAGCAAATTAGCTCAGATCCCTTGGGCCTCTTTTATAAGGGCACTAATCCCACTTATGAGGTATCTGCCTTTTATGACTTCATCATCTCCAAAAAGGCCCCACCCTCTAATACCATTGCAGTGGTGATTAGGTTTCAACATATGAATTTTGGGAGGACACAAACATGAAGACCATAGCACTGCAGATTTCTCCTTCTAGTCTATCTACCTGTGTCTGTCTATCTATCTATCTATCTATCTATCTATCTATCTATCTATCTATCTATCTATCTATAATCTGAGGTTTAAAGTGTTCCAACATTACGAAAAGGCTGTGGGAGTAAAAAGAAATTTCTTTTTACCTTCTGGAATTTTTACCACAGAAATGCAAGCAAAGAGAAGAGAAACCCACTGAGGATTAAGGATCTCTATCCCAAGAGGCAAAAGCATTCTGAATGCTCAATCATATCTACAGTTAATGGACAAACACCGTTCATTACCTGGTGAATATACAAACTTCAGCAATTTGGAATTGTGAGAAAAACAAGGATAATATTTGGTAGAATCTGAGAAAACTGACAGTAGAGAACATCAGTCCCATTCTTTCTTATTTTTATCTGTCTATTAAATTAGAATATCCATCACTTTAACATATTCAGAAATACTGGAAAGTATAGTTCTATCCTTCTCTTAGCCCCATTATTCATATATTCCTAAGAATGAATAGTGAAGATGGCAAGATTGGCGTAAGCATATGGATATACCTATTTTCTTTCTAGTTGTACTGCTGTGTGGTTTACATAGTCATTGAGTGCTCCTGTCCTCCATATAGTAAACCCACCAGTGGTGTGTGCTGAGTTCTGCATACTAGAGGTGAGTCTTCCGGCAAATTCTTTCTGCTACACACTACTGAGAGCCCAAGAGCCATTGCAGAGCCATTCCTCCTTACAAATGGTTAAACCTTCAGATGCAAACACTTCTGTGGGTGGATTGTTCCAAGATCTAACTTGGAGGAACCAAGATATAAAGAAGGCAGGTTCAGTATTACTGGGACATGTTAACTAAGATGCGGGTGCTCGTGGCAGGTTACACAAGCTTTTCTGAGATGCTGTCTTCTCTGTGATCATTGATTTAGAAGCTAGAGATGGGTCTGTAGCATTTATAACTTATTAGTAGATGTAGTCACTGGACAAGTCAAGACAAAAATTAGAAAATTGATGAAGTGTCTAAAACATTTGTGTACTCTTCCCTTGATCTACATATTTAGTCCTACAGCTTTGGGATGCTAAGCATCATTAATCATTCACATTAAACCTTGTTGCGAAGTAGCCTCTACTGATATTGTTGAATAATTAACTCCCCTTGAATCTGCTGCTAATTGCTATATTTCACAGGGTACTTGGTGGCAAGTGTGGCTTCCTATTAAACACAGTCCTAAGACACTGATACTCCCTTGACCAACACTAGTGCCACATTCACCATTTGCCACTGGTTTTTCCACAGTTTTCCCAACACAGAAAACATTGCTCATACCACAGAAAACGGGAATCCAGATAAATAAGAAAAAAATAAATCTTTCAGGGGGAAAAAAGCGTAGATATAAAACAATAGGAGAAAAAGGTCGAAATCATGATTCATCAACTGGAGTTACTGTTAACAAATTGTGCCATATTCAGTGAGTCAGGCAGACAAGGTCATATATAATATAGACCCAAATTTATAAGACCAAGCTCTGTCTCCCTGTCTTTGTGTATGTGTTTATATGTGTATGGAAAAGTATTTTAGTGAACCAGGATAACCTATAAGACATAATCCTCAAGGATTGTTTTTTATTTTTAAAAAATTCAGCTTAATTTATTATTACTTTCTTCTACTAAAAATATAACACTGGTAAGTTCCATATATTTTTAGTAATTTTAAAATAATTCAGATTCCTCTAATGAGGAATTAAAATATCCAACCCAATGGTTTAGTGTCGTGGCTTCCTCTCCATCCTTCTTGAACCAGTCCAACTTCAGCTCACGTGACAGAAGACTAGAAGCCAGCCCTCATTTAAGAAAGGGGTGTTGTATATTTCTTCTATTTTAGTTTTTTGTCTTTCTATTTTTCTTCCACCAACTTTGATTCTGAACACTCCAAAGTTGGAGCACAGTGAACATGAGGAGGCAAATAGGCACTCAAGTGCTGAGTTAACAGGTAGTGTTATAGGCAGACATCATACTCTATGGACTTGTAATCAGTATAATTTTTATGCTCTTCTATGACTGCTATTATGTGTTCTTCAGAAAATCAGCTGACACTTGGGAACCTTTTACCTTCAATTTCCTATGGTTGTCATCCTGACTCATTGCTTTCTAATTTACTTGCACTTCTGCATCTGAACATAACTCTAGCTTTTCTCTGGTGAAGTATGCTGACTTTTGCTCTTAAAAGGAATTTGAGAAAATCTTATCCTGACTCTCTATCAGCTGTAAGTCATATCAAATTCAGAGGAAACAGACAAAATGTTTGTTTAACAAAATCTGAAAGTACAAGATGGTGAATCCAGCCATCTCAAATTTGGCTCACCCCTCAGCAGCTAGCTTTGCAAATCTTTTGCTCTAAGGTTTGTAAGGTGAACACGCACACTGGTCTACATCAAGTGACAAATTTCAAGCTCTCTAAGTGATTCTGCTCAAGTACCTTCTACTAAGTGTATGATGAAGAGCAGGAACAACAAACCATTACCCTCTTAAAGTAGTAAAGCTCACAGGTCAACAAAAAAATTATGCACTCCGCCTATGCTTCTTTTCTTAGCCTTTTCAAGTTCCTTTGAAGTGTAGATGTTGGTTGGCAGGTTTTCTGTCATTAACGTTTTGCAATTCCAGCAAAGTGGCATAATTGGAATGCAGCATCAATTGTTTTCAAGCCCCAGCTGAAACTGATGTCATAGTTTTCTAAATATATCTCTTGCTTGTTTATCTAAATATATCTCTCTCCCTTTTTCTGAGTGTGTGTAAGTGAGTGCCTTCCCAAACAGGAAATTCTCCTTTACTTAAATATTTATGCCTAAGTGTCCTTATTAATCTTCTTTACTGTCAGGCTGTTAATAAACACATATAGAAATAAATGATCAAGTTTCCCAGACAAGGTAGAATAACAAGGATTAAACTTACACTTACTTTTGAAATAAAAACAAAACAAGATGGACACAGTGTATAAAACAATGGTTTCAGGCAATAGGCCATCAGGCAAAAAAAAGGTGATTCTTGAGAAAAGATAAAAAAGAAGATGGGTCCCCAAATTGCCTCACATCACCGAAAGACAGTTTCCAGGGCAAAGAGAAGGAAGAGTGAACCCAGTCAGAGGCTGATAGACTCCACATTTTGAAGAGATAGAGCTCAGAGCCAAGACAGACTGAGGTGTCTTGAGTTCACAGGGAAGAGTATCAGAGAGGAAGCTGCCACACAGAGAAGAAGCTTTGGATAGCCAGTCATCAGAGGTTTCTGCTAAAATCTTTAGCTGAGTACTGATGACCACATATGTATCAAGAGACTGTGTGAAGCCATGGAAATAACTACCACCACCACCTATAACGAAAAGAGCAGGGAAAGAATACCGAAGGCTCTAAAATGGCCAGGTGCTGTTCATGTTTCTACTAGCAAGAATGGAAAACTTAACAATTCACAGGTTATTTGGTAGGATACTCTAAAAGGTATTGCCTTAGCAGTAGAGCAAGCAAAATTAGTCCTAAAGTGTGAATAATAAAAAATTTTGAGATATCTTCATTGTATCTTAAATAAAAGCCCAAGAATACCTACATAAAAAGTTAAGAGCAGATGAAGTTAAACAGATAAATAGACTAGTTAGCATAAATAAGAGATAACAACAGAACCTGGAATAATGTTGTTTGGATGTCTTATCCTTCAGGAACTATTGAAATAAGATGACTGTGAGAAATTGTGTACTACTTACTTTGTAATTTAAAAACTTCTGATAAGTGAAACCACATTTTTTTTAATAGGGCCTCACTCTGTAGCCCAGGCTGGAGTGTAGTGGCACAATCATGGCTCACTGTAGCTTCGACCTCCTGGGCTCAGGAAATCCTCCCACTTCAGCCATTCAAATAGCTGGGACCACAGGTATGTATCACATGCCTGGCTAATTTGAATTATTTTTGGTTTTTGTTTTGGTAGAGATGGAATCTTTGTACGTTGCTCAGGCTGGTCTTGAGCTCCTGGGCTCAGGCGATCTTCCCACCTTGGCCTTTCAAAGCCCTGGGATTAAAGGCGTGGCCTGACGCTCCTGGCAAAACCACATCATGATGGGAGAAATTGTGTGTTAGCATTGGATTTACTTGACTACAATGACAGAAAAAACTGATAAAAAGTGAAGTTCCTTCTTAACCTGTGTCCAAGTGACCTGTAGGAGCCTCGTCCTTCGGCAGCTATATGAGCCCTGTGTTAATGAAGAGACAAACATCAGTGTTATGTGGTAACTTTTGGAGATGTTCATAAGACTGACAGGTTGTACATGCACTACATACCAATTTGATTGGCTAAAACAAACTAACAAAACCATTGTTGGACGACGATCCGGAGCAACTGGAACTTACAGAGTCCTGGAGAAAATGTAAAATGGTACACAAGTTTCAGAAAGCAGTTTAGTAGTTTCTTCCATAAACATTCACTTACAACACAACCCAATAGTATCCTAGAGCTTTTAGAAATCGTTGTAAATGTATTTTATAATTTACATGCAGTAGAATTCATTAATTTCTAAAGTTTCATTTTTTTTTGTTTTTCTGTTATAAATGTCTTTCAGCCTAAAAAACCTCCTGTAGCATTTCTTTCAGAACAGATCTATTGGTGATGAATCCTCTCAATTATTCTCCATGAGATAAAATCTTTATTTCATTCTTATGTGTAAAATATATTTTTGCTGGATATAGAACTGCTAGTTGGCAGTCCATTTCTTTCAGAATTTTAAATATTATTCTACTGTCCTCTGGCTTCAGGGTTACGAATGTACAATTCTCCAAGTCAATTGAATTGTTGTTCCCCAATATGTATCACTGTTGTCTGAAAGCCTTAAGATTTTCTTTACCTTTGGTTTTGTTCCAAGTCTTTGCTATTGTGAACAGTGCTGCAATAAACATACGTGTGCATGTGTCTTTATAGTAGAATGATTTATAATCCTTTGGGTATATACCCAGTAATGGGATTGCTGGGTCAAATGGTATTTCTGGTTCTAGCTCCTTAAGGAATCTCCACACTGTCTTCCGCAATGGTTGGACTAATTTACATTCCCACCAACAGTGTAAAAGCATTCCTGTTTCTCGGTTTTGGACAATATTTTAATGGTGTGTCTAGTCATGGTTTATTTTGAGTTTATCTTGTTTGAAATTCACTGAGTCTCTTAAATCTGTACAACTAATTTTACCAAATTTGAGAAGTTTTCCATAATTATTTCTTTGAAAATCTTTGCTGTACCAATCATTCAGAGACTACAATGACATGGAAGTTAGACCTTTGGATATTGTCGCATAGGCCCTGAGAAGTGGCGATTTTATTTAGTTTTTATCTTCTTCAGATAGGATCATTTCAGTTGATCTGTTTCCAACTTCACTGGCTCGTACTTCTTTTATCACCAACCAGCTACTAAACCATCTTTTTAAAAAATTTTTCATATCTTAGTTTTTAGTTTCAAAAATTATATTTGCTTTTATATAGTTTATTTTTACCTACTGTGAATTTCTATTTTTTTAATTCAAGTATATTAACAATTATTTTATCAAGCATTGTTATGGTGGTTGCTTTAAAAGTTTTGCTTAATAACAACAACTAGGTTATCTCATGGTTAGCATGGATCATCTTTCTCCTTAAGAAATGGTAAAGCTGGATGCAGTGGAGGCTGAGGTAAAAGGATCTCTTGAGCCCAGGAGTTTGAGACTAGCCTGGGTGATATAGAGAGATCCCCTTTCAAAAACAACAACAACAAAAAAAACGAAGAAGAAGAAGGAGATTGATTTTTTTTCCCACTGGTTTTTGGTATATCAAGATATCAAGAATGTTTGCATTATGACCCTGAACGTTTTCCTTCTTCTTTTTTTTTTTTTTTAGAGGGCAGTGGCGCGATCTCGGCTCACTGCAAGCTCCGCCTCCCGGGTTCACGCCATTCTCCTGCCTCAGCCTCCCGAGTAGCTGGGACTGCAGGCGCCCGGCTAATTTTTGTGTATTTTTAGTAGAGACGGGGTTTCACCGCGTTAGCTAGGATGGTCTGAATCTCCTGACCTCGTGATCCGTCCTCCTCGGCCTCCCAAAGTGCTGGGATTACAGGCATGAGCCACCGCGCCCAGCCATGCCCAGAACATTTTCAATATTATGGTATGAGACTCTAAATTCTCATAAAATCTCTTAAAATCCTCCTAAGAATGCTCATTTCAGTTCTGTTTTATTATGGTTTAGCAAGTAAGTATTAAATTTGGTCTGCAAATTGTCTCTCATCTTCTGTTCATAGCAGTTTTAGTATCAGTTTAGTTTCAAAGCCTTTGCTATACTGTTTGTTTTTCCTTCACGTGTGCCACTTAGAGTTTGATCTGGGACTTGAATGATGCTTTAGATCCTGGTTAATTCTCAAAGTCTTTGTGTACTTCTCTGGGCGTGTTCCCCCCATGCACTCCTTAGAAAAAGTCCAGTAATTGTCTCCGTTTGCATACAGATTTAGCAATCCCCTGGCAGATATTTCCTTGGATATTTCCTCTTGTATTTCTTTCCCCCTTCCCCCACCTCCAGTATGTAGTTCCTAGGGCCCCACCTCAGTTATCATGGGCCATATATGCAGATTTCTTTCAGAGTTTCAGTTTTCCATACCATTGCATGCTTCCACACAAACGGTCCACATTAACTATTAAGCATCTACGAAAAAAAAAAATATAAAAAGAAAAAAATTTCTTTGAAATAATTCCTCTCACACTCTTAGTACAATAGGCATCCCATTTTCTGTATTCGGAGAGACAAGTTTTTCTTACAGTTTTAGGTGCTCAAATTTTTCAAACTGCACAGCTGCAGTTTAATTCCATAACTGATGCTTACTTCAGGGCAAGGACAGAAAAGAAAAAGAGAAAACACACACACACACTCACACACACACACACAGAGAAAAAGAGAGAGAGAGAGTAAAAAATGGCCATTCCCACACTCTAGGGCTGGCAGAGACTTTTCTCCACAAGCTCTCTGGCCAGAAAGAATCCTTTTCAAAGTTTTCTTAACACCTGCCATGCATTTTCTTAATTTAGCCTGCTAGGACATCCTGTCAGAGAATAAAGGAATAATAAAAGAAACCACCCAGGAAACTTATTGCCAGCATTTTGTTGTTCTTCAAATTTTAGCTTCTTTCACCAGTCTGCCTGCTGTTACTTACTTCTCAGAGTCCTTAGGTAGTTGTTTTATGTATTTTGCTCAATGTTTTTAGTTGTAATCAGTGGGAGAGACAAGCTGCAGTGGCTTACTCCATTTTACCTATAACCAAAAGTATCCACTTCTAGGTATCTAGACAAGATATAATAACAGACATATAATTTCATACAATAACATAACAAAATGTGGCAACTTCATTTGTAATGATCACAAATTGAAAACAATGAACATTGCTATCAACTGCTGCAGTGATCATAAATTGTGGTATACCTGAACAATGGATTATTACTCAGCACCTAAGAAGAGTGAACTATTGACACATGCGATGCATTAATGAATCTCAAAAGCGTTATGCTAAGTAAAAGAATCCAGGCACGAAAATGTATATGCAGTTTAATTTCATTTAGAGAGTAGTCTAATAAAGAAAAAATGTAGTGGCAGAGCAGTGATTGTGAAGGGTCACGGTGTAGAAAGGGCATCAAAAAAAGAGCACAAAAGAATGTTTTGGAAGTAACGGAAATGTTCTATATCAAAATTATGGTGGCAGTAGTGGTATGACTTTATGCTCTTGTCAAAACTCATAAATCATACATTTGAAATTGGTAAAATTGTATTGCATGTCCATTTAAAATTCAATAAAGATTATTTAAAAATTTAAACACAGATGCCTTGTATACTGTATTTTCTCCCTGTGTCTCTCTATTAAATTAATAGAGTATGTTATGTCTTGTGAGTTTGATTATCAATACAAACCTGAAAACACTGTGTGGTGATTCTAGGAGAAGTAATATCATATGTCAAATGGACTCAGTATTCCTCAATTTTGTTTAATATAAAGAGAAGTTCCTAAACCAATTTGCATATTCTGTTTTCACAGTAATTCTTCCCAGTTGTCAAAATCTTCCCCAGAGGACTCACATCCACTTGAAGGGGACTGTAAAAAGTTAGGTTTTATTCTATTTGCCTAAGTCAACAGGCTTTAAGCTATTATATGGAATATAAAACTCTCACTCCCAAATGCCATGGTGGACATCCTCTTAGGCCATAAGGAAAGCAGAACTCAGAATCAATGTGACCCTTAATTGAAACAGTTTCATCTGTGTTGTGACCCATTTAACTCCTTTGGGGGCAACAAGGAATGACTAATTGTATCTCTAAAAATCATTAGCCAAATTTCCCTCTGTAATTAACTCACAGAAGCTATATATTCATCAGTACTTAAAATAAAGGTAGACATTTCAATCCATAGTAGAGAAAAAAAACCTAAGTATACGTACTTACATTTAATCGGAAGCTATCACCAAAGAAATACATTATGTTTTAGATGTAATAATTAAACATTATGCTGTTGAATAAGAATATTTTTGAAGCCTGAGAGATAATTTCAGCAGGCAACATAGAAACAGCTATGTCTCCCTATCAGATCTAGTCATATCCATCTTCTCAATTAAACCTTTAGGAACGCATTTAGTATCTGAAATTAATATTAGATATCAGTTCATCAAACTGGATTTTTATGCTAAACAAGAACAAATAGCCTAATAGCAATGCCTTGGACAGAATTTGCAAAGAGTAGACACTCTATAAATATCTGTTGAATAAAATAATTACAATTTTTAACAGATAAATGATTCAATGACATTAATAACCCTTAAGCTCCATGATACTCAAAAACAAAGTTGAAGCACTAAAAAGTAAAAATAAAAAAGCAAGAAAAAACATCAGAAAAGGAGATATTCTACACAGGTAATAGAAGAGGCTTGAAGAACTGATGTTTTGATATTTTTTTACCTGCAATTATAATGTGAAGTGAGATTCTTGTCTCTAAAATAAGGTATCTCCAGATTAGTATGCTCTTCGATTTTCAAAACAGAAAAAATAAAGCAACTCAGAAACTTTAAAAAACTAAGCACATAAATAACTCTTCATAAAAACAATATCATTTTGATTTTTATACTTTATGTACATTCATATTACTTTAAAATCACCACCATAAAATTATTATAGATTTTATCTTATAGTCAAGTATTAACTATTGACTGTACTATCTACTAAAATATTTGAAAAAGTAATTCTTCACCTCCAATTCCATTCACTGAGAAGCTAATATTATCTTTGGGAACCGAACCATTAGATTATGGGCATAATAGCACACCTACATTTCAATCCCAGCTTTGTAAATCGAACCAATTATTTATCTTATTTGGGAATGTTTACTCATCTCTAAATGGGGATACAAATACCTCCATTAGGAAGTGTAACCTCTTTACCAAGTCTTTAGTAATAGGTAGAAGATGTAATATGGTTTTTCAGTAAATATCATTACTGTTAATTAATCAGACAAAGGCAGGCAATTCAGAAGAATGCATACTCTAGAACCCCATTTCATGGTTTCCTCACATATTTCATAACTTACAGGCTTCACAAAGGAATTTCTCGAAATGGATCCTCCTGTCCATAAAACTCTTTACCTCAGCAGGTTTTTGTGATACCGGCCTCATAATTCCAACAGTAGTAATCACTAGAGAATAAAAACACCTGCAAAAACACTTTCTTGTTTTTAATCCTCCCTGGCCTCTCATCCCCCACCTTGTGTCTTCTGTCTTTAATCTCTTGTAGGTATTATCATAAACCACTAAAATAAGTCTCCTGTTAAACCACAATATCTCTTATTTTTTGTGTGTGTATGTGTGTGATAAGAACATTCAACACCAGACCTAGCAAATTTTAAACTATTCAATATAGCATTCTCAGCTGTAAGCACTAAGCTGTACAGTAGATCTCTAGGACTTAATTTACCTTCTATAACCAAAACTTTGTGTCCTTTGACAAATATTTCCTCATTTCCCTCTCCACCTAGCCCCCGATATTAGTCAATTTTATACTCTGCTTCTAGGAGTTTAACTGTTTTAGATTCAGCATACAAATGTTATGCATTATTTGTTCTTCTAAGTCTGGCTTATTTCACTTAACATGATATTCTCCAGGCTCATCCACATTGTCGCAAATTGCAGTACATCCTTCTTTTTTAAGGCTGAATAAGATTGCATTGTATGTGTACACCACATTCTCTTCATCCATTCATTTGTGAATAAACATCTATCTTTTCAAAACTACAATACCCCTTGTATCTTACTATCATTGAAAAAAATAGTTTTCATTATTATAAAGTAAATCAGTTTGTGAGTTTGACTTTATATGTGCCACAATCTATAGCTAAACATGGTTTTGACATATGTTGGGGAAGATGTAGTGGCATATTTCATTCTGCAATCAAGGATTTAAAAACTATACCTGAAAATATCTAGTTCAAAGCCTGCTTCATATGAAGGTTTAAAAATCACTAATTCAGTTTAACTTGAAACAATAATGATTTGCTGTGTTAAACACAATATTTTAAACATTTAAACAAATTTGTTGCAAATAAACTGAAATACTCAGAAAAGGAACTATAAGAATACTCTGTCTTTGAAGTAACATTGTATGCTGTTATTTACAAACTTTTTCTCTAATCATTGCCAATGTTTTCTCTACATATCAGGTAATTAACTTGACTTAGCATCATTGTGTTTACCTCTCAGTTACTCTTCATTGAACACTTTTCAAATGCCTTCTATTTTTCTTATTTGGATTTGGCAAATTGTCTTGCTAACATTCTTTCAAAATGACTTTTAAGGACCTCTGGTATATCAATTTATTCACTGTATTGATTTCATTATGCATTAGTTGAACCAACTGTTGCAAACCTTTCAAAACACTATTGTTTTTTGCTTGCTTTGCAGCTTCATTTTGGGTATAATTGACAAAACTGTTTACGCCCTTTAGAGTTTACTCCAATTGTTAAAGTTTTCATAATAACAAGCAATTGTTTCTTGGACCTATTCTTTGTTTTCTGTTGAATATTTTCTGAGTTAATAGTTTGAGTGATCTCTTTTAAACAGTGAAAAATCTAAAATTGTGTTGGTTAAAATTGCATTGTTTTTGTTTCTTTCAAATCCTGACCTTCAAAATGGAACATAATTTTAAAATATAATTACTAGAATTGAGTTATCATCTAATCATAAGTAAACACCTTTTTGTATTTTATGAAAATGAGCTTTAACAAGCAAGAGAATGAAAACATCTCAAAACAAAAAGTAGTATCTAACACAAATAGATATTACCCTTTAAAATATGAGTGATCAAGGTAAGTTCAGAAAATGTTCCATATTCCAAATAACCTTCCCTCCCCCCAAAAAAACCATGAAAATAAAACATCATTGATAATATAATCTGTTTATTAAAAACAAAATGTTATAGGATAGGTTTTGATAGTTAATTTAAATTGTATCAATGTATATCAATGTATAAACACAGACATAATACACACATAAATATAGTTATATAGGCATACACATATAGGTATAGGTATACGTACCTATACCTATATGTATATGCATATGTGTATGTATGAATACATGCACATATACATAAATTCATATAAATGTATACAATTTAAATTCACATTAGTACCAAATATATGTATATAGGCATGTGCATTTCTATCTGTGTGTGTGTGTGTGTGTGTGTGTGTGTATAACACACAATCGCCCTTTGATATTCGTGGGTTCTAACTCCTCATATTGACCTAGCCCCATATATAAAAGACAGTAATTGTGAGATGTGGAAACCACTGATACTGAGAGACTGACTTTAGTAATCCTGGCTTTTGCAGGGCCTACTGTGGAACTTGAGCATCCACGGACTTTGGTAGACGGGGTGGTCCTGGAACCAGTGCCCCAGAGGTACCCCAGGATGGCTGTGTATGTAAATATTTATAAGTTTAAATACAGATTGTGTCATGAAAAACCCTTAAATATGGTGAGTTCTTTGGTCCCAGCCAATTTTCTTTAACTACTTTGTCTTCACAAACTAATAAGACGCCCATACAATGATATAATTTCAAGATTGTTCTGTGAAGTTTTATTCATGGTAGAGACAAATGAAAATAATATTGATGTCTAATGTCAAATAATTTGTTAATTAAGATAAAGTCTATAGCTATTTTACAGTATAGACTAATATAAAAATAGTAAGAATTATATCTTAAAGGGCATGTAACATATTAATAAGTGAAATTATAAAAAATTACAAAGCAATGCATGCATACAGTATAACACTAATATATACTAACATAAACACATGTATATAAGTACACAATAAAATATATTACTTATAAATTAATATTTAATTTTCATGAACAACTATTATTCTCTAATTCTATTTAACTATTATTAGCTCTAGATAATTTTTAAATTTTTGTTTCCACAGCTTCTACTTGATAACATGTAATTTATAAATATAAAATTTTTTAAAAGCAGCTCTAAATACATACACATACACACATTAAAATAACAAGAGATTTTTTTTTCTTGTTCAAATAATGTTAATCTTAAAATTTCATCTGTGGTTTGAATATACAATAAGGAAAATTACTGCTAGGATGAGAAGTTGCCTTGCTTTTTTTCTGTAAGTGGAATCTACACTCTGAAGCTAGAAGAAGAGGTCCTTCTTGAAGGAAAAGTTCTCTGATTGTTCATTGATATTACCAGTTCCTGAACCTCTATGGTAACACTAGTTTGAGGAAAGCAGTAGCTAACATTCTTAAAAGAGTGATAAGTGCATCCTTTTGAAGTTGAATCTGCTAAATAGGAATAGCCTATCTGTCTTTTCTTGCTATTTAGTGTAGTGATGCTTTTATCATAATGAGAAATATGGTCTAGGAGGTTGGCTGAGTGGGAACCCCTGGGGTAAGAAAAGTGAACCCATTTGCTAGAAAATATGCTACATTGTATTACTCAGAGTTAGAGGGCTTTCGTGAAAAATTCATTAACGCGAAAAGCAATGATGGTGTTTCATGACAAGGATGTGTCATATGCCAATAGATGAAAATAAAATTTGTATGTAAATTGTGATACAAATTCAGTGCAGCAGTCAAAGTGGGTGTAATAGTATGTCCCATCTTATTTAGCAGTTTGCATGCTCAAAGAATAGTTAACCTGCCTGTATGCATTCTTAGCATGCACAAATGTATATACATATATACACGAAAACATAGGCATATACATATAAATATACAAATACATACAGATGTATATATAATTGTAAAAAATAAAGCTTTTAGTCCTAAAAATCTTGGTATTTGTATGGCTAGATAATTTAAAACTTTCTCTTTGAAACAAGAGTAATCATACATATTTTTAAAGTAGAACTTTAAGATGGAATACAGGAATAAGTTTTTGGTGCTGGAATTATCAGATATTTAAAAATTCATAATTTCATTTATTCTGTTTTTAAAAATATCTGTAATAACATTTTGCTTTATATTTCAGAAATAGAATGCTTATTAAAAAGAAAGACATCAGTGGATTAAATTACAAAATAATCATTTCTGTCTAAATGATCTATTTTGGTGTAAGAGGAGGCCAAAGAGAGGGATTTTAAGTATGCCATAATCATATTAGTTTTTCCTACTTAACTTCAGAGGTGTTATGGGAGTAGTTTATATAGTTTAGGGTGACTTCACTCTTATTTCTAATCATTCAAGTTTTTCTAAAGCTGGTTTATATCTCAAATGTGTTGTAATAATTTTAGGAAAAAGGGAATATGTTATACTTGTATGGAAAAATACAGAACAGATTTAAAGACAAGCATTTTTTTAAAGAAAAGATGGTTAGTAATCTCTTAAAAGCCCATCACTTTTATATTTTTTTAAATATTAAAGATATCTTGTTTATCAAAGTTTTTTCCTTAGTTTATATAATTTATATTTATTGTATAAACTTTATTTTTGAACAGTTTTATATAGCACTAGGAGATACTCTAGGCTAATTTGCATATCCTCTGACCTAGTCTTGGAATCAACCATTTCTTTAAGAATCTCTGGTTTCTTTAATTGAAAAGTTGTATTAGGAACCAAGATCTAGGCTCTAGGTGTGATTATTGCTGCTGGAGTGTCATTAAACCTAGGCCCTGTCAGCTGGCAGAACAAGGACAAATATGTGTGTATACTGACATATGTATATATGTATATATATGCATATATTTCTATGTGTAACCACCTGTAGCTATAGTAAGCTAAACGTGAATTCATACCGATGTCTTCCACTCTACTCCCTTAGCACTTGGATGATTCTACACTCCTCCCCTTTCTGATCTGTAATCTGTCACTCCAATAATAAAAACCTGGCTCTCACAACCTGTCATCTGTGTAATTATTTAACTCCAGTGGGCATATATATATATATTTATTTATTATATATAATAATTAATATTATTAAAATATGAGTTACTCAAAGTAACTACAGATTCCATATATATATATAATAGTTTCAGAATGTTAACCCATATCTTCACAGAAAAAAATTATCAACAACAGTACAGTGCTAATATGTCATTTAATCACATAGATTCCATTCATTTTCAAAATGACTTAAGTGAGCACTTTTTCCCACATAACTTCAGTAAAGTTGTTTCATACATTTTAAGACACTTAGTTTTTTTTCATTCTATACTGGAATACCTGGATCTCCTAAATAATTTTCTAAAATTTGCATGCATTAAGTTTATTTTTTGCAATGTACAGTTATATGGATTTAAACAAATACATAGTGTCATGTGTCCACCTTCATAGTATCATACAGAATAGTTTCACTGCCCTAGAAAGATCTGAGATACATTACCTACTGAAGCTTCCTCTCTCAAACCACGGGTCCTTGGTAACTACTGATATGTTTATAGTGTGCATAATTTTGCATGTGCATGGTGTTGTATAATTGAAATTACACAGTTGCAGACTTTTAGAATTAGTTTCCTTCACTGAGAAATATGCCCTTAAGATTCATTCATGTCTTTTCATGGATGAATATCTCGTTTATTTTTATCACTGTATTGTATTCCTTGTATGAACATAACAGTTTTTTTATTATTCATTCACCAACACTCTTTGACCACTCCTATTCAACATAGCACTGGAAGTCCTAGCCAGAGCAAATAAGCAAAAAAAAAAAAAAAAAAAAAAACAAATAGAGGACATCTACATCAAAAAGAAGAAATCAAATTATCTTTGTTTGCAGATAATCTGATCTTAAATTTAGAAAATCCTAAAGAACACACCAAAAACTCTCAGAACTAACAAGTGGATTCAGTAAAGTTGCAGACTACAAAATCAACATGCAAAAAATCAATTGCATTTCTATACCCTAACAATGATCAATCTGAAAAATAAATCAAAGCAGCAATTCTATTTACAACAGCTACAAAATATAAGACACCTAGGAATAAATTTAACCAAAGCAGTGGAGGATCTCTACAAAGAAAACTGTAAAACACTGATTAAAAACACTGAAGAGGATACAAAAAATGAAAACATACATTATGCTCATGGATTGAAAGAATTAATATTATTAAAATATCTGTGTTACTCAAAGTAACTAGAGATTCAATGCAATTCCTATCAAAATACCAATGAAATTCGTCATGGAGATAGAAAAAAAAGCCTTAAAATTTGTATGGAAACACAAAAGACCCTGAAAAGCTAAAGCAAGGCTGATCAAAAAGAACAAAGCTGGAGGCATAAAACTGCCCAATTTCAAGTTATACAACAAAGCAATAGTAACAAAAACAGTATGATTCTGAGATAAAAACAGACACATAGACCAATAGAATGTAATAGAGAACACAAAAATAAATCCCTATGCTCACAGCCAACTCATTTTGGACAAAGTTGCAAAGAACATCCATTGAGAAGATGACAGTCTCTTTAGTAAATGGTACTGGAAAAACTAGATATCCGTATGTAGAAAAACAAAACTAAATCCCCATCTTTCATCATATACAAAAAAACAACTCAAAAAGGATTAAAGACCTAAACGTAAGACCTAAAATTATGAAAGTGCTAAAATAAAACATTGGGAAAATGCTGCAGAACACTGGTTTGGGCAAAAAAAAAATTTGGTGAGACCTCAAAAGCACAGACAACAAAGCCAAAATAGACAAATGAGATTGCATCAAGCTAAAAGTTTCTGCACAGTAAAAGAAACAATGAGTCAAGTGAAGAAATAACCTACACAATGGGAGAAAATATTTGCAAACTCTTCTTCCTACAAGGGATTAATAAGCAGGACATACAAAAAAAACTCAAACATCTCAATAGCAAAAAAAAAAAAAAAGATTATAAAATGTGCAAAAAACCCGAACAGATATTTCTCAAAGAAAGACATACCAGTAGTCAACAGGTATGCAAAAACTGTTGGTGGGAATGTAAATTAATACAGCCACTATGGAAAACATTATGGAAGTTCCTCAAAAAGCAAAAATTACAAATACCATATGATCCAGTAATCTCACTGCTGTATATATATCCAAAAGAAAGGAAATCAGCATATTGAAGAGGTACATGCACTCCCATGTTTATTGCAGCACTATCTGCAATAGCCAAAATATGGTATCAATCTAAGTGTCCATCAATGGATGAAGGAGTAAAGAAAATGTAGCATACACACAACAGAATATTACTAAGCCACAAAAAATAATGAAATCCTGTCATTTGCAGCAACCTGGATGGAAATGGAGGTCATTGTGTTAAGTCTATTAAACTAGGCACAGAAAGACAAATAGCACATATTCTCACTCCTATGTGGGAGCTGAGAATGAATCTCATGGAGGTAGAGATTAGAACGATGGTTACCAAAGGGTGGAAAGGAAAGCGGGGAGGAGGGGATAAACGGAAGTTAGTTAAGGGGTATAAAAATACAGTTAGGTAAAAGAAATAAGTCCTAGTATTTGATAGTACAGTATGGAAATTATAGTTAATAATTTATTGTATATTTTAAAATTGCTAGAAGAGAAGCATTGTATAATCTCTACACAAAGAAAAGATAAATGTTTGAGGTGATGGATACCAAATTACTCTGCTTTGATTTTCATACATTGTATACAGGTATCAAAATATCACATGTACCCCCAAAATACGTGCAACGATTACATATCAATATAAAGACATACTGGCTGCTTCTCATTTTTAGGGATTGTAAACAAAGCTGCTATAAAGATTGTCATGCAGGTTTTTGTTTGGTCCTAAAGTTTTCAGATCAGTTTTGCAAATACCCATGAGTGTGATTGCTGGTGATTATTTATAGTTTTGTAAGAAACTGCTAAAATATCCTCCAAAATTGTAGCATGCTGATTTCCCACTAGCAATTAGTGATCCAGTTTTTCTGCATGCCTGTTGTGTGTTATATTATTACATTGGTTGATTTTTTAATATTGTACTGGCTTTTTAGGCCTTTAATAAATTCCACTTGTCATGGTCTATATTTCTTTTTATTTACTGTTATATTTAATTTGTTAATATTTTTGAGTACATCAAATATATACATTTAACCATGTAAGTTACAGACAGCTAGAAATTCCCCTAATATTTGGTGATTAAACAACACACTTACAAATAACACATGGCTCAAAGAATAAGTTTCAAAAAATTTTAAATACTTTGGACAAAATTAAAATTAAAACACAATTTATCAAAATGTGTAGAATATTGTAAAATTGTGCTTTGAGTGAAATTTTTAGTATAAATGCATACACAAGAAAAAATGAAAGATCTTAAATTTATCTGAAGTCAATAATGTAAGTTTCCATCTTAGGTAACTGTTTAAAAAATAGAAATGTAAGCCTACAGCAAGATAAAGTAAATAAAGCATAAAAATTAAAGCAAATATTAGTGAAATTGAAAACAGGAAACCAATGGAGAAAATTAGCTAAGCCATAACCTAACTCCTTGAAAGATCAGTAAAATTAATTAACCTCTCATTAGAGAAACCAATGAAAAAGAAAATGAACTAATTATCAGAAATGAAAGAGAGGTTAATCTCATGGCCATTAATATGGCAATAAAGGAAACCATGAGCAATTCTACGATCATAAATTTTATATCTTATATGTAATGAATCAATCCTTTCAAAGACACAAATTATTACAACTCAAGAAAAGATAAATAGATAATTTGAGTAAATCCAGATCTGATTTACTCAACATTAAAGACAGTGAATCATTAATTAAAATCTCTTCTAGAAAATAGAAATAGAGGGAACATTTCCCAACACATTTTATTAAGTCATTATTATCCTAACACCAAAACTAGATAAAGCTATTGCAAGAAAGGAAAAATATAGACCAATATTTCTCATGAGCAAAATTTCTGAAGAAAATATTAGCAAAGTTAATTCAACGAGGTACAAAATCATTTTTAATATTTTTATGTAAATATTGTACAATCCTTTTTCTTTTCTCGAAGGTTTCTTAGAATATTTTATTACTCCATGAACATGTGAATCTTCCCTGAAACCAGTTTGGCTATGATTCTGACCTCATACTACCATATCACCAGAAAACTTCACCCAGGACTGAGATCCATTTCCTGAAAGTTTTGTTTCCAACAGAAGTCCTCCTACAAACTGGGCAGACAACTTAGAATTGTAAGACTACCACCACCAAATCACTATGTTTGACATCTTTGGAAATCATTCACAAATAACTTAAATTCAACTTTTATTTATTTTTTAATTTTTATTTTTAATTCAAAGGAATATTTTATTGTATTTCTTTTATTTTTATTTTTTATTTCAGTAACTTAAAGAGTCAAGTGGTTTTTGGTTACATGAATGAATTTTATAGTGGTGAAGTCTAAGATTTTAGTGTACCCATCAACTGAAAGTAGTGTGCATTGTAACCAATAGGCAGTTTTTCATCTCTCACTTCTCTCCTACCCTATCCCCTTCTGAGTTTCCAACTTCCATTATACCACTCTGTATGCCTTTGCGTACACATAGCTTAGTCCTACTTATAAGTGAGAATATGTGGTATTTTCTTTTTAATTCCTGAGTTACTTTACTTAGAATAATGACTTCTAGTTCTATCCAGGTGGCTGCAAAAGACATTATTTTTTATGGCTAAGTATTCCATGGTTGTGTGTGTGTGTGTGTGTGTGTGTGTGTGTGTGTGTGTGTACATTACATTTTCTTTATTCACTCATCAATTGGTGGGCTTTTAGTTTGATTCTGTATCTTTGCAATTGTGAATTGTGCTACAATAAATATACAGGTGCAGGCTCTTTTTGATATAGTGACTTTCTTTCCTTTAGGTAGATACCCAGTAGTGGAATTGCTGGATCGAGTGGTAGATCTATATTTAGTTATTTGAGAAATCTCTATACTGTTTTCCGTAAAGGTTGTAATAATTTACATTCCCACTAGAGGTGTATAAGCATTCCTTTTTCATTATATCCATACCAACATTCATTACTCTTTGACTTTTTAATAATGTTTTTTGTGTGTGTGGCTGGGGTAAAGGTGGTATCTCGTGGTTTTAACTTGCATTTCCCTAATGATTAATGATGTTGAGCATTTTTTTCATATGCTTGTTGGACATTTGTATATCTTCCTTTGAGAAATGCCTATTCATGTCTTTGCCTATTTTTTAATGTGATAATTTATTTTTTTCTCGCTGATTTGTTTGAGTCCCTTATAGATTCTGGATATTACTGCTTCGTTGGATATGTAATTTGCAAATATTTTCTCCCATTCTGTAAGTTGCCTGTTTACTCTGATAATTATTTCTTTTGCTTTGCAGAAGCTTTTTTAGTTTAATTAGGACCCATTTATTTATTTTCTTTTTGTTGCATTTACTTTGGAGTTCTTAGTTATAAACTCTTAGTCTAGGCCAATGTCCAGAAGAGTTTTTCCTAGGTTTTCTTCTAGAACTTGTATGGTTTTCGGGTCTCAGATTTAAGCCTTTAATCCATCTTGAGTTAATTTTTATATATGGTGAGAAATAAAAATTCCCATTAATTCTTCTACATGTGGCTATTTGATTTACCCAGCACCATTTATTGAATATAGTGTCCTTTCCACAATTTATGATTTTGCATGCTTTTTTGAAGATCAGTTGATTGTATTTGGCTTTATTCTTTGATTCTCTATTCTGTTCAATTCTTTTCTATTTCTGTTTATGTGTCTACCTTTATAACATACCAGTACCATCCTGTTTTAGTTACTATTGCTTTATAGTATAATTTGAAGTCAGATAATGTGATGCCTCCAGATTTGTTCTTTTTGCTTAGATTTGCTTTGGCTATATCGGTTATCTTTTGATTCCATGTGAATTTTAGGATTGCTTTTTCTAATTCTGTGAAAAACAATGTTTGTCTTTTGATAAAAATTGAATTGAGTCTGTAGATTGCTTTGGCAGTATGGTTATTTTAACACTATTGATTCTTCTAATCCATAAGCACGGGGTGTATTTCCATTTGTGACATCTGTGATTTCCTTCTGCAGTATTTTGTCATTCTCATTGTAGACAACTACAATTTACCTCTTTAGTTAAGTATATTCCCAGGTTTTTTGTAATCTTTGTGTGTGAAATTCTTTTGTAGCTTTTGTAAAAGAGATTGAGTTCTTGATTTGATTCTCAGCTTGGTCATTGGTGTATAGCAGTGCTACTGATTTGTTTACATTAATTTTGTAAACTAAGACTTCACTGAATTCATTTATCAGCTCTAGAAGGCTTTTGGAGGGTCTTTAGGGTTTTCTAGGTATGAGATCATATCATTGGCAAACAGAGATAGTTTGACTTCTTCTTTTTCAGTTTGGATGCCCTTTATTTCTTTCTCTTTTCTGATTGCTCTGCCTTGGACTTCCAGTACTATGTTGAATAGAAGTGGTGAAGATGGACATTCTTATCTTGCTCCAGCTCTTGGAGGAAATTCTTTCAACTTTTCCCCATTCAGTATGATGTTGGCTATGCATTTATTGTATACAGCATTTATTATTTTAATGTGTGTTCTTTCTATACCTAGTTTATTGAGGGTTTTATTGTAAAGGGATGGTAGATATTATCAAATGCTTCCTCTGCATCTATTGAGATTATCATATAATTTTTGTTTTTAATTTCTTTTATGTGAGGAATCACATTTGTTGACCTGTGTATGTGGAACTATGCTTGCATCCCTGGAATGAAACCCACTTGATTATGATGAATTATTTTGTTGTTGTGCTGTTGGATTCAGTTTGCCAGTATTTGGTTAAGAATTTTTGCATCTATATTCATCAAGGATATTGGTCTGTAATTTCCCACTTCTGTTATGTCCTTTTCTAGCTTTGGTCTCAGAGTGATACCGGCATCATAGAATGAGTTAGGGAGGACTGTCTCCTTCTGGATCTTTTTGAATAGTTTCAGTAGAATTGGTGTCAATTTTTCTTTGAATGTCTGGTAGAATTCAGCTGTGAATCCATCCAGCCCTGGGTTGTTGTTGGTGGTGGTGGTGGTTGTGGTGGTAGTTTTGTAAATTACTGACTTAAAATCACTGCTTGTTATTGACTGCTCAGGATATCCATTTCTCCTGATTCAAGCTAGAGGGATGGCATGTCTCCAGGAATTTATTATTTCTTTTTGATTTTCCATTTTCTGTACATAGAGGTGTTCATTGTAATCTTGAATGATCTTTTGTATTTTTGTGGCATCAGTTGTAATGTCTCAATTGTCACTTCTAATTGAACTTGTTTGAATCTTCTCTATTTTTTTCTTGGTTAATTTAGCTAATTGTCTATCAGTTTTGTTTATCTTTTAAAAGAACCAGATTTTTTGTTTCATTAATCTTTTGTAATTTTTTTGTTTATATTTAGTTTAGTTCTGGTCTGATCTTTGTCATCTATTTTCTTCTGGCAGCTTTGTATTTGGTTCCTTTTTTCTTTAGTTTCTTGAGGTGTGACTAAAAACTAGAGAAATAAATTTCTATATTGTCAATTTATTAGGTTGTCAATTTGTGACCTTTTAGACATTTTGGTGTAGACATTAAGTGCTACATACTTTCCTGTTAGCACTGCTTTTGTTTTATCCCAGAGGCTTTGGTAACTTGTGTCACTCCTGCCATTTCATTTTGAAAAGGTTATTAAATTTCTATCGTTATTTTATTGTTTAGCCCAAAATCATTCAGGAGCAAATTTTTTAATTTCCTTGCATTTATACAGTGTTTAAGGTTCCTTTTGGAATTTATTTCTAGTTTCTGTGCATAGAGGTGTTCATGGTAGGTGTTGTTCTGCTGTGGTCTGAGAAGATATTTGATATGATTTTAATTTTTTAAAATTTATTGAGATTTGTTTGTGGCCTATCATATGGTCTGCCTTGGAAAATGTTTCATGAGGGTGAAAAGAATGTACATTCTGCAGTTCTTGGGTAGAATGCTCTGTAAATATTAGTTAGATCCATTTGTCCTGGAGTACAGTTTTAGTCCAGTGTTTCCTTGTTGACCTTTGGCCTCAATGATCTGTCTAGTGCTTCAGTGGAGTGTTGAAGTCCCCCACTAATACGTTGTTTCTGTGCATCTCTATTCTTAGGTTCAGTAGTAATTGCTTTATGAATCTGGGAGCTCTGGAGCTGGGTGCATATATATTTACAATTATATATTTTGTTGAATTGATCCTCTTATCATTTTATAATTATCTTATTTTCTTATTTTTCTTTTTTTTTTTTACTGTTGTTGCTTTAATGTCAGTCTTATCTGATACAAGAATAGTTACTCCTGCTCAATTTTGGTTTCTATTTGTGTGGAATATCTTTTTTCTATCTCTTTCTCTTGAGTCTGTAAGAATCCTTATGTGTTAGGTGTGTCTCTTGAAGACAGCATATATTTGGTTTGTAATTATTTTTTAATCCAGTCTGCCAATCTATGTATTTTAAGTGAAGCATTTAGACTATTTACATTCAACATTAATATTGAGAGTGAGGTGCTATTCCAGTCACAGTATTGATGGTTAACTAGTGACTTTGTTTTCTTCATTGTGTTTTTTAATAAGTCCTGTGAATTTTATGCTTTCAGGAGTTTCTGTTTCCATTCTGCTGTGTATCAACCTTTTGTTTCAAGATGTAAAACTCGCTTTAGCATTTCTTTTATGGCTGGTCTAGTATTGACAAATTCTCTCAGCATTTCTGGTTTGAGAAAGACTTTATTTCTACTTCATTTAGGGAACTTAGTTTTTCTGAATATAAAATTATTGGCTGATAGTTATTCTGTTTAAGGAGAATAAAGTTAGGATCCCAAACCCTTCTGGCTTATAAGTTTTCTGCTGAGAAGTCTGTTGTTGGGCTGATAGATTTTCCTTTACAGGTTACCTAATGCTTTTGTCTCACTTCTCTTAGAATGATTTCCTTCACACTGATTTTAGATACCTTGATGACCATATACATTGTTGATGTCTTTTTTGCTATGAGTCTCACAGGAGTTGTTTGAATTTCATGTATTTGGATGTCTAAACATCTAACAAGACCAGGGAACTTTTCCTCAATGATTTCCTCAAATAGGTTTTCCAAACTATATTTTTTTCTCTCTCAATAACACCTATAATACTTAGGTTTGACTGTTTTACATAATTCCATATTTTTTGGAAGACTTTATTTCTTTTAAATTTTACCTCAGTATTTTATTCATTGGGTTGAACAGTTCAGGCTTCAGGCAAGTAGGGGGTGCCCATGGGTAAAAACTGGCTGCAGCTAAAGCAGGTGGGTAAATCCAATATCCCCATGTTAGGAAGAGGTCTCAGCCTTGATACAGGTGCCTGGGTAAACTCTCATTGAAATGCACTGAAGTCTTTTCAAAGGAGAGGAAGGGAGCTACCCCAGCTCTCCTTCCAAGCCAGCAGAAAACCAATCAGCCTCCTAGTCACACTCCCGACCCAGTGTCCCAGCTATTTCAGATCACACTAACACCCCTTTTTATCTGCAGGAATGCTGATGTTCCATGTAGAGAGCGAGTTTGACGCTACCTCTTATCTGAGCCTGAGCATGGAGGGCACTCCTCTTGAGGTGATGCAGTCACCCTGAGGTGTTCCAGGAAGGTTGTGTATTGCACTCATGCCATGCTCCCATGGAAGAAGCCCTAGCTGTGTTTTCAGTAGTGGGAGAAGGGGATTAGAAGTCCTCTTCTCCAAAACCCTTCACTAGCACTGTGGCTGCCTGATTGTTGGGGTAGAGCTGCAGACTCCTCACTGAGCCCAGCACTGCACCTGTACCTGTGCTGAAATAAACTTCTCACACGTCGAGAGTTCAGAGACTCAGGCCTGCAGGCTGGTTTTCTTTGTCCTATGGGGTGCTTCCTTAATGTGATGCACTTCTCCTTTCGCTTGGAGTAACAGCCCCTGAGGGACAGACTACTGAGAATCCTTGTGCTCTTCTGGGCTCTTCTGGGTCTAGCTGCTGATTGGGACTGCCACACTCCAGGATGGTGCTGGGGAATGTCTGTAAGAGATCCAGTGATGTGACCTCCCCTCTAATCTCCTAGCAGTGGGTACCAGCATCTGCACTGACAGGAGTGGAAGGAGAATGACATAGACTCTGAGGTTTCCTTGGTTATAAATAGCCTTAGTATATTGGCTTCCTCAGATGCCAAATGTAGTAGTAATGTACCTGACACATGGACTCAAGACCTCCTGATTAGCCAGGGTAATCTAGGCAATGGAAATAGCTGATATCATGCAAAAGTTTTCTCTTTCTTTACTGTTGTGTTATTGTGCCTGCAAATTTTGTAATGGGCTATGCCAGTTGACCTCCATCTGGGAGCTGGTGATTGCAAAAAGCACCAGCTGTGGTGGTAGTGGTGGAAGAAGTGGAATTTATGTTTTCCTTGTGTTACCCAGGGAATGTACTCTGGTGCCTCAGGCAAGAGGGAGGGCCATGGAGCTCTTAAATGTTCCTGTTGTGTTATCCTACCAGGGTGGGTGGAGAGGCCAGGTAGGGGTTGGGCCAGGTAAGTCTGTGCTCTGGCTCCCTGCATGCAGGCACAAGTATCGGCTCCAACGGAGATCAGAAGGCAGTTCCCTAGCCTTTGGAGAAATGTTCCAGGGAGGAGCACAGCTGCCCCTGCTGCACAAAATAATCCACACAGAGACGGGGGATGGTAGCAGGCAGCAGTAAGCCCCACTCAGCTTCTACACACTTGAAAAGGCATGTCTTAGAACCAGTGTTTTGCTAGTGGCAGCCAGCTGGGTTCCAGGCAGCCTGTGCTCAGAGCTCAAAACTGCCTCTGGCCATAAGCTTTCCCAATGGAGACAGAAACCGTGCTTTCAGGCCACACCCCTCCACCCCTGCCCATGAAGCTGAGGTGTCCAACTCCTGCACCCATGTTTATAACACACTTCTTACTTGCCCCTTGATTCTGCTCATCAAGGTTCCTTCCCATTCAATATTCGACTGCAGATCTTCATTGGGAGCTTATCTCAACCTGTGCCCATCACCTGAGTTAGCTGGCAGAGTTCTGTGAGGTCCCCTGTGAGGTATGATCTGGAATGGCTTCCCTCTGTCCCTGCTTTAGTCTGGGAGTGAATGCAAAGCACGCCCTGATGCCTCTCCTTCTCATATATTCCTCACTGCTCACTAAATCACCTCCAGCACTGGGTAGGGTTAAGGCCTTCCCTGTGGCGGGGTTTGCCTGGCTCCCCTGTGGGAGTGTGCATCATGAAGGCAGTCTCTCTCCCACTCATCCTCTAGAGATACAGTGTTCTGTCTGATTCATCGTGTAGGCTACTGCTTGCTGCTTCTTTCGAAGGTCGGTGGTTTCTGTAAGTTATTCTGTTAAGTTTCTGAGTTGCTTCTTGGAAAACAATTCACAGAGTAAATTTCTACATACTATTTTCTCTTTCCAAGTGAGAGAGGCATGCTACCGATGTCTCCAATTCACCATCTTTGCAAGGGGTGGGAGGTGGGGAGGAATTACATCAACTTTTTTAAATTTGAGATTGGCTGCTCTTTTCTAATATTTTAGCATCATGCAGGACAGCAGACAGATTAGTTGCTATATTTCCTTCTCTGCTTTTTCTCTGTTTCATACCTACAACTGAGGTTTTGATATGACTTGAAGCTACAACATGAAATATGATGTTATCTTTTTTATTCCCTTTTTATGATTATCCAAAACAGTAATTTAACACGCTATTCTGGAGCGTTCCCTTTCTCATGCTCACTACTAGGCTTAGCAGTCCACTTTCCAAACCTATATTTATTCCATTAAAATGAAGGCTATATGCCATGATTGATTTTCTGACATTTATCTGTGGCCCTTGCAATCTCAAATATTTCAGAGTCTTGGTGATCACATCAGAAAATCAGCTTTTGGTCTATTGAATTAGCTGTTCTCATAAAATATTTTCTTATTATGATATAAAATTAGTACTTTTTTAATATATTGTTTACACTTCCAATATATTTAATACCAGTCTCTTGGGATTTATGTCATAGATATTTCTAAAATTTTGAAAACTAATATTTTAAGACATAATTCTATTTCCCAGGTTCAAAGTATCTCTGGGCTTCTACACAGTATTTTCTTCATAGTTTTTTGTTCTTATCCTTTTCCCAAATTATACTAAATGCACATACAACCTCCCCAACCTAATCTGGATGGCTTTATAAAGCTTGCATTTGGTAGCATTTCTGAAGATACCTTTTGCTCTTGTACAAGACACCTTTTGTTCAGTCAGTCTCCTGCTAATAGTTTATTTTCCTGAAGAGGTCAATTTTTATCTATTTAATGAATCCAGTTTCTAGCACTTTGAACACTAAAAGCCTCATGTTCTTTCCTGAATGCTAAAAGCCCGCCTTGTCATGAGACACACTGCTGCCATGCCAACAGGCTGGCAAACGTTTATTTTGAACTGGCAACAGGCACATCTCTCCTACTGATTTTTCCCAAAGCTTTTTTGATTCATTTGGCATTCACCCTATCAAGTATGCAATTAGAAAGTACTATAACAATTAAACATTATAGCCCTTCTTAATATTTTCAAACTTACTCCACAAAGAAGTGCACAGAAAATTTTCTATCTTAATATTTATAATTTCAAACTCCTTAGTGTTGTGTAATTATTCCTGGGAGGTACAATGTGTGAGCTGTTTACATGAGATGAATGGAACCATGAATTTATAAGTACATGCTCCATTACACTCATGGTGTATTGCTTCTTAATTTACATGTTGCTTTGGGCCATGAAGGAGATTATTCCGGTAATTTTAACAGAGCTTCTTTCAGAATCTGTAGATTCATCTCCCAAGGCTCCTTTTCATTCTGTGATTTGAAAACCATTTGGTGGGCAGAAATTTCACCATGTGTTTGTCAGATAAATTTCCTACTTATCATATTTGGCTTATGGCAATATGGTGGTTTTAGAAGAAGAAAGCATGAATCCCATGACTTACTCTAATGGGACAGGAAACTGTAGAGTTAGAAGACAAAGAACATAATTACATTTTTATGAGCAAGCATGTAAATATATTACTAAAAATGTTCATTTAAATAGCATAGTCAAATGTAGAAAGAAGAAAAACTGTCAGAAGCCAGACTAAAAAATCCTTCTATTTGACTTCCAGACTGCTCTATCTAAAGAACTGACGTGATCAACTTTGTATGCCTGCCTAAAAGGCACCTTAATTAACTAAAAATATTAACCAGGATCATATTGGAGGAACAAAAAAATTAGAACTTGTAAAGCTTAAAAGTAAATATTACATCCAAATAAAATGAATAACTTAACTTTAGAAGAAAACAGTATTTAACATACCCAATTAAGCATATTTGTCACTAAATTTCCCTTTTTAAACAATTCAAAATTATCAGTATTTCCTGTGGTGGAAGAAGTCTGAGAGTTATTCTGATTTTCCTGTCATGTATATAACATATTGATAAGATCAAAATGTATGGCTTCATTCGAATGCAAAGTATTGGAAAATAGCACTAATTAAGTCAGCAGACATGAGTTTTTCACAAATTAATTGTATGTCTTGGAAAAAGTTTCTGAAGCCTTCTGTGTAAAACATGATAGCTAGAATAGAAATGGCCATAAGGTCATTCTTGGAAAGTCAGAAATTTCTTCCTAACCTACTACCAAACATAGGTGAACAAAAGAGAGACAAAATTTTATTTCAGATTTACTGACTTTTGGGAAGTGCATTGTGTGGAAAATAAGTGATTGGATACTTATGCTTTGACAATTAAATTGATGAGATCATAAGGTTGCCTGGAAATGGCTGGAAAAAAATGCCTCTCTGAATGTGTTAGGGAATGTTTCCCAAATTGCACACGCTCTCTGTCCTCTGTCTTATTCTGAACTCTTGGAGACTCTCCTGCATTTAGGAGGTTTGTGGATTAAAGCTGGGAAACCAGTAGATAGTATCATATATTTTGAAAAAGCTCATAGGGTATCTAATATGATCGTTTCCTAACACAGCAGAAGAACACTGGTTTCAATTGATTTGATATTTTTTGACAGTATATGTAGCTGTGTGGACAGTATTTTCCTAACCTTTCCCAAATGAAATATCAACAATATATAAACATTCACACTTTTTAAATTAACTCGTGAAGTTTTATCAATGGAATCCTTGAAATCCAATCACTTTTAATTATAATTTTAGTGAATCATCACTCTTGAACTTCAAAAAGTATTGTTATTAAGGCTAATCTGAACTGTTTGTTCACCATAATTATACATATGTTATATTCTACATTATACCTTATAATTGCACATAGTAAATATTCATTAGATATTTAGCTTTTCTTCAATATATAGGTCCTTTGACTGCATGCACTTGTCTTCTTACTCCTGAACGTATCTGTGAACATAAGTCATGAGAGGAAAGTGTTCCCTGAAAATTAGATGAACTAAGGTTATGAAAAGCTCATTGAGAGAAAGCTGATAAGACGACAACCTCGTGCTACAGTGCTTGTTGTATAAGCCCAGTCATTTATCCTTATCAGGGCCCCAAGAAGAATAGAAAATGCACAGGTAACTAAAGCAAAAACACTCAAAATTGCAGTTTATTAAATGCATACTATGTACAAGGCAGAACACTAAATATATCCAGCTTATTCCTTTCCACAACTTCAGGAGGTTAATAATGCTTTACCTGTTTTAGTGATGAGTTTAAGTAACTTATTGCGGCTGTAGAATGAGTAACACTATAGTTAACTGGCATTTGCCTCAGTTCTGCATGATTCTAAGTGCATGGACTCCAGAGTTATGTAGAGATCAATATTAGAGACCCTCGTTTGCAGCTTACTAGGTATAGAATCTAGGAAAGCTGCTGATAACTCCAACACAGCCCTGAACACTCCTATGTGTACTTAGTAAGTTGGTTTTGCTACTGATACTTAAAGTACATGGGCAACAAAATCACAATCAAAATGATTTGTTAAGTATAGAATAAGATCAAGGAAAGTTTAGTAATTTAAATATTCAACAACTTCAAGCTAATACTGCCCCATAGCAATAATATCACTGGTTGTGTCTCAAACATAGAAGCATAGTACTCTTCAAGTACATATTGATAACTTTGTTGGAAGGGATTGAATGTATATTAAATGTAAGTGTGTATATGTATAGATAGATGTAAATATATAGGTCTACAGACAGATATATAGATACACATGTGACACGTCAAATTTTCGTCACACAAGCAACAAAAATGCTTCCCCAAATCTTCAAAATACTGAGAATATGTAGTAGATAGACACTGAAAATATTGCATTCTAGAGCATTGTAAAGATACAATCAGAAAATTTCATTTGGCCAATGAGAAGAAAAATAATCACTCTTTTATAATTTCGAGCAGACAAACACAAAGCAAAGGTCCTGTATATAAGTCTGGAAATTCCTAATATTAGATGGCATGGAATCTTTTTTCCTGGGACATTGCTTAGATGAGTACTACAAATATTTACTCTCATTCTTCTTCTTAGACAAGGTCTACTTTGCTGTTTATTATGCAGTCCTTCCATAAACAAGTACATGAATTTCCATGATTTTAAATATTAATATATTGATCATAATGATATATTGATAAACATTGGTATGTAATAATTTAAATTTATTTAAATTATTAAATAAGTTAATAATTTATTTCACTTGCTGCTTTTAAATATTTTAACTACTTCCCATTATTCATAGAATAAAATAAGCAATCATTGTCATGGTCTAATAGGCCTTGAGTACTTTAGTCATTTTTAAAACTTCTCCAGGCTTAGGTTCCATCACTCTTCCTCTTCAGCTATTAATAATAGGCTTTTCACAGTTTTTCAGAAGTTCCTTTAACTTTCCTGCCCTTGGCCTTTGAACGTACTGTCCTTGTTAGTGAAACACTTGTATTTCCACTTGGTTTTCTAGCTAAATCCTATTCATCCTTTAGTGCATACCTTAAGAATTACTTCTTTAGTGAAGCTAATCTCAAAGACAGGTAAAGTCTTATTTTACATTAATCTCCAGTGCTTACTCTTTGTAAGAACTAAATTGATACTTACAACAGCTTATACATAGTATGTTTTAAATAAAAAGAATGAATAAATGATTATTCTATGCTTTTATTGAATTACAAAAGTATTTTAGAATACTATACTTAAGAAAATTTAGATAGGTTAATGGGAGGTTAAGCCCTGTTCTGAAAGTTATTTTGTTTCTTGCGGGTAACTTTTCATATGATGCATTTTTTTTTTCTTTAAATACTGATTTTTATGATTTTTACCCCATTATTTATAAATACTGCACACAGTAAATCTCAAATATAGAAATAGTGACATTTCAATTTAGTAGACTTTAAAATGGTTTCATTATCTCTTTTTTTAGTGATGATATTTTAGCTCCTTAAGTTCATGGCATATCTCTGATTTCTTCTACCCTCCACAATATTTAGTGTTGGAATCTTTCTCCCTATCATTTTTGTCATAACATCATCTTTATTGCTCACACAAACAGAGTACTTAATGCCAGATACAATCTTCACAACAATTTTGAGATAAGTACAACTATTGTCCTCATTTTAAAAAATGAATAAACTGAGGCAATCTTCAAAGTGACTTCTTCCATTAGCAAATATCAGGGGAAGAATTTAACCCAGGAAGCCTTTCTAAGGAGTCTTTTTAAAATTGGCATTCAAAGAATATAGATTTAGTAGTGTAAGACTGCCAGAATATCTAGCAATCTGTGTATTCATAACAGAATAGCATAAATACATTCAAAAGCAGAACTACAGACATTGGAATAGAGACCCCAGATAGACATTTGATTGGTGTGTGCTTTTGTATCTGCCCAGGAGAGAGGTATCAAATAACAGCAAACATAGCTGCCAATAACAAAACTCATTCTGATATTCATAACTCTTTTCTTTTCTCTGAGTCTATATACATTGCTAATAACAATGTCATTCTGTTTCTAATATCATAGTAGCTTACTCCAATAAAGAAGTGAAAATCAGTGTAGGCTTCCTGTCATTAGCTTTTCTCATGAAATTTAATGTTTTTTTCCTCCTGTATGGTAGTAATTTGTGTGACTAATAGCTTATATATTTTATTAACTAGCAAGCCGTTCTGTTTTGTTAATTACTAAATAAAATAGTTGTCAACTATGTCTGGATTTTTTCAAATGTGAAAAAACTACAAAGAATGTATTATAATTACAAAAAGCACCTATTCTGCAAGTTTGAGATGTTAAGAAACAATTTGTGAATATTTTTGAAAATTTGATTATAAAAAATTGAGAACAAATTATTCAAAAAATATCTAATAATGTAACTCTGTATGTTGTTATTGATATAAATCCAAATAAATTCTTCTTATTCTCATTCTCTCTCTTAAAAATAGAAAAATCTGTTTGATCTATGACTATCTTTAAGAAAATGAGATGTATCTCCCTTCTGCAGTTTTCAATTCATATAAACATATAAATGGACTTTTGCCACCTTATGTAAAGAAGAGCTAAAATAAATTTTCACCAAAAATAAAGAACCATCAAAAGGGATTGACAGTTGTCCAAGTTTGAGCCTATTCCATTCTTTATCGGAGTGTTAGGTCATTACTGAATTGCTATAAAGAAATACTTGAGGTGGTGCAATTTATAAGAAAAGATGTCTGATTGGCTCACAGTTCTACAGGCTGCATAGAAAACATAGCACTGCTATCAGCTTCTGTTGAGGACCTCAGGAAGGTTACAATAATGATGGATAAAGAGGGAACAGGTGTCTTACATGGCAAGAATGGGAGCAAGAGAGACAGTGAGGAGAAGTCACATAATTTTATAACAACCGGATCTCATGAGAACTGATTCACTATTTTCAAGCAACACCAAGCCCTGAGGGATCCACCCTCATGACCCAAAAACACCTCCAACCAGGCCTCACTTCCAACCCTGAGGACCACATTTCAGCATGAGATATGGGGGGACAAATATCCAAACTCTGTCATTCAGTAATTTGAAATAAGAAATAGAAAAATGAGTGACTTGACTCTTAAATTGGACATTGTGGGCAGTAAAGTAAGTAGAACCAGCTAACAATGGCACCATTATATGCCAACACTGAGCAAATTAAATTTGAGGAAGCTGAAACCGAACACTGAGCAGAAGAACTGTTATACTTAGGAGATATTGATGTATGTGTACACAGAGGAATAGAAAACAAAGACCATGCAGTCCTAGACGTGGAGAGAGGATCACTGTCTAAAGACTTTCCAGTTTTGAGGGAGTTCCAACTGTGTTGCTTCAAATTGGATGCCTGGAGTTCTCTGTACATTTACAATAACCTACCTTTATAAGCTGGGCTTATCAGAAGACTCTTGGACCCATGAAACCAAATCCTTCCTGAATAAAACAACCTCATTCTAAACAGTTAACCTGAGAGTGCATTTTCACGCAACGGAACTTCTTTTGATTGTAGATAAATAACCACAGCTGTTTATATTTGGATCATGTAATATATAAGAAGGATAATTCTTCATCGGGTATATTCAGATATTGACTCCTTACTTTACAATTTTTTACTCTAGAGGTCAAATTATCAAATAATATTTTTATTTTTAGAAACTTCAATACATTAAAGCTTTTTAAAAGCAAAACAATAATTATATTTAAAAACTGAGAATGACTGAAAAACTGTATAATAAGAACTATTTGTATTTTTTCTCTAACTCTATAACTACTTCTAAGTTACATAGACAAAAATCATAGAAAAAGTCTGAGTTCTAGGTTATCCTCAGTGAACTGTGACACTTACCTTTATGTAAGTGTCAGTCATAAAATCCCTTTCTCCCTCTCTAAAATTCCCAAAGTTATATGGTCACCTTGATCCCATATCCTTCCTTCCAGATCATTGTCCTGATATCCACTACCTGAAAAACCAAGCCTAAATGTTTCACGAGTTGATTCCAGGACCTGCATAGACATGGATCTCTTCTTCAATGTATCCTCTACAGGGTGGGCTCTGCTGCAATTACGTTGATCTCTAAGCCTAGGAGTAGAAGACTGGGGACAAAGAATGGTTCTTGTCACACACTGTGGACACAGCTTAAATAGGCTGTTGTGTCCATGCTCATGTGCAAAACTCTTGTCATGGTGAGAGTTTGAACCTGGCAGAGGTGGAGAAGGGGAGATCAGCCAAAGGCCAGGAGCTGGCTCTCTCCTTACTAGCATATTCTTGTTCAGAGCTCAGAAGAGTCTAAGTATCCTCCACTCAGATATGATCTTCCACATTATTATGAAGGAATGTTAGTCAGGTGAAGAAGATAAAACACATTTCATTGATTGGTTATAAGTTTTGGGTATTCAACACATAGTATATGGACTTTAATTGATATTATCACTCCCTGAACTATAAATATGCTAAGGGCAGACCAGAGATAAGACATAGTCTTTTCTCCAATAATATCTATTAAAATTTAAAATTTTTGGTCTAGAATATCAATACATTTTCATTTATTTTAAGAGTAATGTGAACCTGGATTCTAAGCAGACTGGCACTTTTTCTTTTTTTATATTAATTCTGGGACCACAACTGGATAATGAATTAATCCTAGACCAGTCTGTGTATATTTTGGGTCCCAAATTATTTCTATTCCAGGTGTCCTGTGGTATCTGCTTTCAGATTTAGAACTGTTGCTATTCAGATGGTTTTCAGTGTTTGGTAATGTACTGGGTCAAGAGGGTCTTTAAGTATCTGTTGTCTGTCAGTTGATTTTGCTGAAAGACTATATTTCCTTCTAAGGCCCTGCAAATTTTTTCCTGGGTGGTGCTGCAGTCCTTTATGCTTCTGCACTGTAGTGGCTCTCAAGCCCATTGATGGCTTACTACATACCCTTTTGAGGAGACCCAGGAGTGTCAATCATATAATTCTCTCCTCACTATCATTACTCAGTTCAACCCAGACACATATTAGTCAGTGAGTTTCTTGGGGTGTGCATTTTCTCTGGTCCAGTCAGCTTATCTTTCTTATTAATCAGTATCTTTTTCAATCTAAAGAAAGAAAAGGAAGGCACAAGATAGCCAACAAGACATAGCCAGGAAAAGCCTCTTGCACCAAATGAGACAATAATATCAAGTAAATGAACATATATCCAACTCATCTTTTGAAAAAAAAATTGAGAGTTGATAGAGAAGTGACACCGACAATGAGGCTGAAGAGGGGGAACCTAAGAGCCCTGCAAGGGGTTGTTGTGTGCACCACGACTCATTCTTGGCCCTGAATGACTCCTAAGGAAGTGGTGAGTTAAATAACTGTGGGACAACCCACTGTCACTGTGGTATCCTAGCTACAAAGGATCCTACAAACTCCATCGACAGTTGAGCTAGTTGGAGATACTTCCCAGAAAGTAGGCAGATACAGAGCTTATGCCTTCACAGAGCCTAGAGTGTTTTATAAAGAGACAGCTGCAACAAAACACAGCCATAGGGGTCTATCTCCCAGGGCTCTCCATACTGCTGTGAGTGGCTGTAGCCTTTGTTCACTGCCAGATCTAGAAAAAACAGGGCTGTCTTTTCTATAAGACTGGGGATGTCAGGTCTGTATGCACCTTACTTGCAAGCCCCTCCAAAGGTCCATGCCTGGCCACTCCCACAGAAGCAGGCTTGTAGCACAGTCTCAACTGTTCCACTGAATTGCCTTTCTGGTGGCCCCCACTGGAGCATTTTGCTGGCTACCTGTGCTGGAGCACTTCTCCAGTAACCCCTGTGAGAGTGTTTTGCCAATGGCCTGAGAGCATCTTGGTCCCTAACACAGCTGGTGCATAATATTTAGAGGCCGGATTAAAAAGCCATGGGTCTGGTGTGAACACCCCAGAGTTAGAGCACAGAACCTAGGAGTGCAGAACTGAGATCTGTGGCCAGAACTCAAGTGAGGGAAAAGCCCTCACTCTCAGAACACTGGGGAGAGAGAGGCATGGGTTTGTGGGCCAATGTTGGAAGCCGGGTGTGCCTCCCACCACAGGGCTGGCTTGGGAAGAGTGTGGTTTGTCTGCCAGCCACAGCTTCTGCTTGGTGGATTCCCTTGGCTCAGGACATCTAATTGCCTAGTGATCTGGGCATAGGAAGTTTGGGACAAAACTAACTAATTGGGCCAGATACTGAGAAGGAGATCTCTTCAAGGGAGAGTGGAGAATGAGTTGGTGGTCCCCACAGCTGCCTGCTGGGTAAAAATCCCCAGGCTGCAACAGTTTCACCTACAGCAACACCACTATCCCCAAAGATTCCCCACCCTTGGCCTTCTGCATCAAGAGACCACCTGTAGACATACCCAACAACCCTTTCTGACATTGTCCAGCACAGAAGACCAGCAGGTTCCCACAGAACAGCAGGTCTCCTGACAACCTAGCCTTTGGTTTTCAAACTGCCATTGAAAAATTATAACTGAGACAGTGAAAGCGATTTGGCCTAACCAACTCCATCTTACTTCTAACCTCCAAGCTATCCTTATTCATTCCTTTGCAAAGGTCAAACTAATTTTGTCAGGAACTTAGTTTGTTGTTTAAAACAAAGACAATAACAGCCCTTTACCAAAACAAATATCCTTTTTACCTGGGGACTAAATTGCCTTTGTAGGACTAACAAATTAGCCAAAAGATTAGAAATTATGGATTAGGAGTCATGCAGCTGGAGGCTACAAGATTCTGACCCTCTCCAAATTGCTCCTAGGGATAACATCACTATTGTAAAATCTAAGATCAGTGCTTGAGATATTTTGCAGGCTCTGCACTTGATGAATCAACTGGCAGCACCCAGATCAATAAACTGACTCATCTTATCTTGTGGCCCCTACCCAGGAACGGACTCAGCAAAAGAAGACAGCTTCAACTTGCTCTGATTTTATCTCTGCTCCCATCAATCAGCACTCCTGACTCAGTGGCCCCTACCCACCAAATTATCCTTAAAAACTCTGATCCACGAATGCTCAGGGAGAGTGATTTGAGTAATAATAAAACTCTGATCTCCCACACAGCCAGCTCTGTGTGAGTAATTCTGTATTGCAAATTCCCTGTCTTGATAAATTGGCTTTTTCTAGGCAGTGGCAAGTTTAACACGTTGGGTGTTTACAAATTTGGGGGCTCAGCAGAGGTTGCCCTTGGGACTATTTGCCTGTGGTTTAGGAGCCTCACTTCAGTGATGGATCTGGAGGCCAGCCAAGTGGCCACCTAGTTCTCTTGGACTGGGGGCTGACTCTGACACTGTTTCTACCAGTGGGTCATTGCCAACCCAATGTGCATGGATTTGATTACAATAGAGAAATAGTCTTGGGAAGACATCCCATAACTCTATCCCCATTATGAGGAGTCTGTAGTCCCATAATGGAGTGCCTGTAGATGTATTCTGATTATGGAGTGTCTAATTTGGTGAGTATTCTAGTTGCTGCCAATACCTCCTTTCTTCTCCTGATTGGTCCAGATCCTTCAGCGTCTTGGTTTGGCACCTTTGGGAGTCTCAATTGGCTCTTCCTAATTAATAGAAGTAGTCTTGGTTTGAGAGATTTCTCCTCAATCTGGAAGGTTTGAAGGAGGTAAATGGAAAATGGAAAATGGAAGTGGGAAAATAAGAGGTTAGTTTGGAAGGAATACTCTTAGAACTTTTGGTTAGGGATCTTGGTTTGGAAAGCCTTCGGTCTGTCTTGTCTTTGTTGTGTTTGTATGTGTTGAGAGGATCTCTGAAGGAATTGCTGATGGAAATCCAGCAGGCATAACTCAGAGAACCCTTTGTAAGTCTCGTCAAATTCCATGAGCCCTGAAGAAAGCTCAGGAGTTCTGACTTCGGGTGACCATTCTCTATTCTCCTGACCCAGAGACAACCCATTGATCAGGGGTTTCTCATTTACCTAGCCTGCAGCTTTCAACTCCTCATGGGAGGGAGCATGCAAGTGAACGAGGTGGGAACTGGAATGCATGAACTCTGGAAACAACCACCCACTTCGGAGCTGACAGGAGCAAACTTCAATCACTCAGACTTCCTGCGCTTCATCCATCATGAGAGGGAGCACACAGGTGAGTGCATGTAGAAGCCAGAGCGAGTGCTCTTGGGTTCTGGCAGGCATAAACTCTGTGCAGGCCCTGTGACAGCAAATGGGGGTTTCCTGTGACCCCTGAAGCTCCAGAGGGAGTGTTAAATTGCTCTTCTAGCTCTGCCATCCATGGACGGCTTAAGTGTTACCAGCTCTGTGGGCCCTCTGCCTTTTCACATGAGGTGGCTGCCTTCTGCTAGTGAGGGCAAAGGGCAAGTGTGACAGCCTTTTGTATCCACACATGTGGCACCTGAGCTCTTGTCTGGCATTCAGGAGAAATTAGGTCGCATGAAGAAATTGAAGGATAGTAAATGTGGGAGGTTATATTGCCAAAGAAAGTGGTTCTCTGCAGGAAGGGAACCTGAAAATGGGATGGGGCAGGAAGTTAATCTTTCCCTGAAGTCCGGCCATCTTTGACCAGATTCTTCTCCAAAGTTATGACATCTCGCTATCCTTCTGAAGTCAAGCCAATTTTCTCCAAAGTCCAGCAGTAGTCTTTGACATCCAGCTGCTTCTCCTCTCTCTGCCAGCTGAGTCTGGGTTTTTTTAGTCGCAGTATGGGTGGAGCGGGGCCATGGGTGTTTTTGAAAAAGACAACATTTAAGCAGAAAAACAGGGATGTAAGTTTTCACTTTGAGCCATGGTTTCAGGCTTGAGGATGGGATTTTGTTGGGGACCACCTTGTTCTGCCTAGAATTTCTCTGCCTCCTCTTCCTATTATTTCCCTCCTCTTAAGAGACACATCTAACTGCAGTTAGAATATGGATGATGACCAATCATAGCTACTCCCTGCTTACAGGGGACATTGCTTTGGGGAGAATTCCTCCCTGAGGAATTCCTCCCAGAGGTCTACCTAAGGTTCCTCGGCAGAAGGGAGCCATCATCTGAGGCTCCAGTTGCCTGATCATTTGGAGTTTAATGGCCTCTTGACAAGAAGAAACAAATTTTACAAGGTTAAGTATGCATAGATCAAATATGTGTATTATACAAAAAAGGAGTTAAGAGGAAAGAATCTATTGCCAAAGATTACAGAAATAAAAAGTGAAATATACTAATTCTGAAATTATTCGATCTGGTATAGAACAGATCGAAGGTAAGAATAACAAGCATAGGCAAGACTATAAAAAGGATACCAATGGGAGGTTAATTATTAACACTAATCTTTTGTAAGTTTTAGCTCGAGGTCACCGATATCTTCACATTGGTACTTTGGATGCTCTTCTGGGTTGACAGGGTAATTCTGTTAACTTCCCAGTCCTTTACTCAGCTATAATGAATCCAATAATCTATTCCAGTGACCTTCACTACCATATGAGTAGAAAGAAGTATGGTGTAAGGTCCCTGCCAGTCTGGGCTTATAGAGAGAGCAAGAGAAGGAAGTACCTTTACCAGTACTAGATTCCTTGGGTTGAATTGAGTGGGCCTAGTTCATCGGATTGGGCCTCCATCAGTTGTTTCAGTTCCTCTTAGATATGGCACAAAAAAATTATATGTTTAATTAAATCAGAGGTTTCTTAGTCTAGCAAAAAACATCAGTGAGATAAGGCCCTCCATATATCATTTCAAACGGACTCAAACCTAACTTTGAAGGGGTGTTTCTAACATGTAGTAGGGATATGGGGAGGATAGTCCAAGGGATATCAATCTCCTGAGACAGTTTCCTGAAGTGTCTTTTGATAATATCATTTTTCATTTCTAACTTTCCCAAGGATACTGGTATCCAAGCACAATGAAGATGGTACTGTATGCCTAGTGCCTTTGAGACTCCCTGGGTGACAGCTGCCTTGAATGAGGGTCCATTATCACTCTAGAGGTACTTAGGAAGTTCAAAACAAGGAAGTATCTAATTAATTAATATCTTAATCTTCTCAGAGGTATTCTCTGTTCAACATAGAAATGCTTCTACTCAGTTAGTAAAAGTACCTATCCATACTTGGAGGTACTAGATGCCCCTTACCATTGGCATACTGGTGAAATTCATTTGCCAGTCTTTCCCTGGGTAGCCAACTGTCCTTTGGGTTCCTGCGGGAAGAAGGCATCAGTTGAGGGGATTCTTTTTAAGGCAAGTCTGGAAAGCATTAAAAACCTATTTAACCACTTGTATCAGGTTTTTACCTGAGAAAAAGATCTGGACCAGTTGATAGGTTTTATCCTTACCTAGGTGGAAGGCCTGGTGAAGGCTTTTGAGGACTTTCTATTGGTTGGCAGCCAGTAGATGAAGCTTGGCATCCTCTCATTTTAGCCATCCTGAGGACTGAAAGATATATCCCCAAGAGGTGGCCCATTCTATTTTTGCAGATCATTGAGGTTTTATTTCACTTATGAAGCCCTCTCAGATCAGTGGGGCTTCAAGTGACTCCTAAATGTGGACCCCTTTTGCTGCTGATTTAGCCACTTGGTCTATCAACGTATTTCTCTTGGCTATTTTATCCAGTCACTTTTTGGTGGCATTTACAATGTATTACTGCCACTTTTCATGAGAGGATAACCTAGGATAATAGTCTACTAATTTCCTGATGGTATTTAATGGGAGACTTGTTAGCTGTGAGGAAGACTATGCTGACTAGAATCAGCATAAATGTGAACCATTTTCCCTTGTTTCGGTGCCCCTGTGAACACAATTAGCTCATCTAGTTGAACACTTGTGCCTGAAGAGAGAGACATGCTCTTAACAATGTCATTCAGAGTAACTATTGCATACTTTGCTTTATGGATTCCTTGTTCTACAAAAGAACTGTCCATAAAGGTAATCCAGTCTTGTTTCTCTAATGGTGTTTCTTTGAGGTCCTCTCTGGACACATAGGTTTGTACTGCTGTCTGTTCACAGTCATATTCAAGCTCTCCAGCTTCCTGTGGAAGGAAAGTGGCTGGATTTAGGGACTAGGGACAGCTTGTTAAGTGGAATGCAGACCCTATAATAGCAGAGCTAGCTTGTTACCTGAAGAGGCAGTTGTCCATTAGCCATAGACAAGACAGCAGTCTTGCCACATTATGTGGAGTATAAACAGTTAAGTTATTTCCTATGGTTGACTTAGTAGCCTCCTGTACCAGCAAAGCTACTGCTGCAACTGCCCAGAGACAGGCTGGCCATCTTTTGGCTACAAAAACAAGTTCCTTACTTAAATACCCTACAGGCTGCTGGGCTGGACCCCGAGCCTGGGTTACAACTCCCAGGAGCATTCACTTCCTTTCTGACACGTAAAAGTTAAAAATATTTCCTATGGAAAAACTTATGACTGGTGCCTTAAGCAAGCCTTGTTTTAGTTAGTCAAGGGCCTTTCTAGCCTCTGGTTCCAAAATTAAAGAGTAGGTATTAGCTGCTTAAGTCTCTTTTATTAGGTGATATAAGGGATGAGCTATTTCACTGTAGCCAAGGATCCATAGTTTGGAGAATCCCATAATATCTATGAATCCCCTCAGTTGCTTGAGGGTTTGGGGAGGGAAAAGGAGAAGTCAGGCTTAATCTTTTCTTCCTCCAATTTCCAGGTCCCCTCTGAAAAGACCAGACCTAGTCACTTCACTGAAGCTTGACAGAGCTAAGCTTTAGATTTTAAAACCTTATATCCTCTGTTAGCCAGAAAAATTAAGAAGAGCCTTACTGCTCTCTTGAGAGATTTCCTCGGTTGGAGTGCACAGAATAATGTCAACTACATATTGTAAAACTTTACCCTGATGATAAACAAACTCAGAGAGGTCTTTTGATAAGGCCTGCCCAAACGAAGTGGTGAGTGTTTCAGAATACCTGAGTAACATCATCCAGGATAAATGGGTGATTTGGTTAGAGAGATCCTCAAATGTAAACAAATACTGTCAGTCAGGGTGTAATGGTATTCAGAAGACATTTTTTAGGTCCAGGACTATGAACCATTTAGTTCCCTCAGGTGTTTGAGCTAGCAGGGTGTATGGATTGGGAACCACCTGGTGAATTGAAACCACAACCTCATTAATGAGTTGAAGGTCCTGAAGTAGTCTCCATTTCCCATTGGGTTTTTGTACCCCCAACATTGAGGTATCACAAGGTCTGTTTTAGGGTTTGAGGAGGCCCTGCCACCTTCAATTACCAATGATGGCTTCTAGTTCTTTCCTAACTTCTGGTTTCACAGAGTATTGTTTCTGGTTAGAAAAGGGGTTGGGATCCTTAAAATGGATCTGGACCTGTATGGCAATTTTGGCTCAGCCAATTTTCCCTTGAATTGCCCAAACTTCTAGGTTAATATTGGTATTTACTAGGAAGAAACAAAGAGTTTGTACTGAAGCCATCAGGTGGTCTCCATATGGACCAAAATATCCCTGTCAAACAGAGGAGTTGGGCTTTCAGGCATAATTAGAAAGGCACAAGTGAACAAGAGGTCTCCCCACCAACAACTAAGGGATTAGGAAAAAATATCAGGTTAAAGACCTTCTTGAGACACCCCACATGGTCATGCTAAGAAAGTAGAGGGGGCCAGAATTGGAGAAAATAACCAAGAGACCAGCCCCGGTGTCCAGAAAGAGGTCTACTTTCCTTCCTTCAGTTTCCAGAATTACCCAGGGCTCCTGGATGTTAATGGTGATCTGGACCATCAGAGCCAGGGAGAGAAGCCCCACGACTCCTCATTCCTACTGGACCATTTGGGAAATTGGCTCTGGGCCCAGTGACCAGAATCCCTGGGGGAAGTTCACCTTCCAGTAATCCTCACTGTAGATTGAACAGGGTCAAGATGGGTTTTTCATGCTGCCTAGGCAATCCTCCCTAAAATGCCCTGATTTACCAAATCTGTAGCTGTTAACAAGTGCACCTCAGAGATTCTGGGGCTTGTGGGCTTCCATGGTGGCCATTAAAGTTTCTACCTCTTTCCTTTGTCTTCTCTCTCTCTCTCTGGGGTCTTCTTGTATCTATTATAAAAGACCAGGGTGGCCACTTTCAGGAGGTTCTCTAAAGTACTGTCTGGTCCCAGGACCTGTTTGTATAGTTTCCTCCTGATATCAGGGGTTGCCTGAGTAATAAATTTATCCTTTAGGATTAGTTGTCCTTCAGCTGAATCAGGAGGTAGAGAGGTGTGCTTTACCAAGGCCTCTCTTAGCCTTTTCAGGAAGGCAGTGGAATCTCATCAAATTCCTCATCTATTATGGATAGCTTGGTATAAACAAGAGGCTTGGTTCTAGGCCCATGTAAGCCCTCCATTATGCACACCTGAAAGTGTCTTCTCTTCCATTCTCCCTTCTCATCATTGGGATCCCGTTTAGGGTCATTCAATGGTACTACTTATCTTCCAGTTGGATAAAGTTTGACCCCTTCTCTGACAGTATATGTGATACAAATCTCATTCTTAAATCTCTCTGCTGCTTGTGGAGTGGACTGCTTCTCAATGTTAGTCAGGGTTTGATTCAAAAGTAACATAACACCTTTGCAGGTGAGTTAAAATACTTGGCTTAAATTCTGGATAGCCTCTAAATATCTGTCAGGGTCATCAGAAAACTTACCAAGATGCCCCTTACTTTGCTTTAAGTCCTGTAGAGAGAAGGGGACCTGGATCTTACTGGGGCCAAATTGACCAGGCATCTTTTGGAGGGGCAACAGTGAGACTGGGGCTTATCTAGGATGAGGATTTCTAGGAGAGGGCAAGTGCGAGTGAGAAACTGAATAGGGAAGATGGAGTGGACCCAGAGGAACAGGGACAGACAGAGCTGACCGTCCTGCTTGAGGTGCCTCTGGAGTTTGTTTCTTTAGTTTCCTGATATTGGGCAGCCTCTCCTGAGATGGCAACATGGAGGGCTTGATCAATCCTACACTGTTGACAAAGGCCTGGATTATTACCCTGAAGGGTAAAGAAAGCCTGCACATATGGGGCCTCAGACCACTTGTCTTCATATTTACAGAAAAGGTCCAACTGCAGGATGGTATGAAGATGAATGGGTCCTTCCCGAGTCAGTCCTTCTAGCAGATTATAATTTGGCTAAGCCTTTGTGCAAAACACATTTTTGCTCCAGAGTCTAAGGATCAAAGCAGCCCCCGTGATTCAAAATACACTTCGGAGAAATATAGACTGAGGATGGTGAAGATAGTTGGTCACCCATTCTGAAGAGGAAAATAGATGTCCCACATTTCCCTTCCCTCTTTCAGCAAAAACTCAGCATGTGGGAGAGAAAGAATACAGGATTCCCTCTTTTCTGTTTTGTCTTTTTATCCCAGAGACCTGGAGACCTTAGACACCACCCATGGGTGCCGTTGTGGCCTGCACTCATAAAGCAGGAAGGCCCTAGGGAAAAGGAATTATTCACACACACACCTACACCTCCATCCCCAATTTTTGGGTTCCCTGAGCCTTATCTATACCATTGAGCATGGCCTATTTCCAAGAAGAGAGGGCGTAATCGGCAGAAACTAGTCCTGCCAATTTACACTGTGCCTGTGGCCTGGCTTTGGATCCGTCAGATCTGATTTTTCTTTCAAGTGGGAGAAGAATCTTTTTTTTTTTTTTTTTTTTTTTTGACGGAGTCTCACTCTGTCGCCCAGTCTGGAGTGCAGTGGCGCCATCTCGGCTCACTGCAAGCTCCGCCTCCCGGGTTCACGCCATTCTCCTGCCTCAGCCTTCTGAGTAGCTGGGGCTACAGGTGCCCACCACCATGCCCGGCTAATTTTTTGTATTTTTAGTAGAGACACGGTTTCACCATGTTAGCCAGGATGGTCTCGATCTCTGACCTCATGATCCGCCCACCTCGGCCTCCCAAAGTGTTGGGATTACAGGTGTGAGCCACCACGCCCGGGCGAAGAAACTCTTGCTCTATGAATATGGGTTCCTTGAATCACCCTATTCTTCCCGTGGGTTGGACCGAGCTGGACCCCTCAGACAGAGGAGAAAAGACTCTTTGGGCATGTGGCAGAAGGGGACTGCAAGTGGGAAACACTGGTCAACGGGCTGCATGGGACCCCTGGCGCCCTAGAGTGTCTTGGTGCCCTGGCAGCGGCTGCGGGTCTCACCCACCCCACATGGCCATTGGGTGTGGCAAGTGCATGCTGCGAACACAACCAAGTACCCCAGCTGGGAGGGGAGAAGGTAAGGAGGGAGCCACTGTGTGCTGCACTCACCGTTGGGGAGGGGGTTGGGATGGCATCTCTAAGAACAAATGGAAATCACATTTTCTGAACTGCATATCTGGTGGCTGGCCCAAATGCCCATTTTACCTAATAACATTTCTGCAGTTTGTAGCAAAACCCTTAACATTATAAAAGAAGAGATAGGAGCCATTTCACACCCTGAAAGAAGAACGGAAAAGATGCGACAGAAAAGTCTGGTTGTCAGGTGGTTGAAGACAGGGCCCAGTCTAGGGGACTTCCAGCAATGCTAAAGAGTGTCTTTGGCCAGATGACTTCAGAGTAGCTCCAGGACTTTATTCTGGTCCCACATGATAGGTAGACCTTCATGAAGGGACACTGAGCCAACCTTTCTTTCACCTGAAAGAGAGATATGGCAGGGTTGCATCCTGTTATCTGAAAATGGCATAGCTCAGAGGAAAGTCTGAGGACAAGAAGTCTTGGGAAAAAAGTAAAGACACAGATCCAGTATATCTGCATTTATTTATTCACCCTTCTGATACATCCCAGACATATCCCTAGATGAAGCGGGATATTTCCGTGACCCCTCGTGGGACCCTTGACAGGGGTGCCTCATTTACCCAGTCCACAGCTTTCAGCTCCTCATGGGAGGGAGCATGTGAGTGAATGAGGTGGGAACTGGAGTGCATGAATGGAACTAGTCAGCCACTTCAGTGATGGCAGAAGTAAACTTCACTCACTCAGACCTGCTGCATTCCACACCTCATGGGAGGGAGCTCATGGGTGAGTGGGTGCAGAAACCAGGACTAGTGATTTTGGGCACCAGCAGGAGCAGATTCCATGCATGCCCCGCAGCAGCATCTGGGGGGCGAGGGTGCAACCCCTGAAGCCCCAGAGGGAGTGTTACAGTGCTCTGTAAGTTCTGCTGTCCACAGGTGGCTTAAGAGTTAACAGCTCAGTGGGTCCTCTGACTTCTCATGTGAGGTGGCTGCCTTCTGCCAGTGAGGGAAAAGGGCAAGTGTGACAACCTTTTGTATCCACACTCATGTCACCAAAGCTATTGTGTGACATTCAAGAGAAATGAGATTGCACAAACTCCTACTCTGTCATAGAAAGCCATATATGTACCAGTGAAAAGGGGGCCCCGCATGACTATCTCCATTTTGCTTCTAACTCTTCCTCTCCCTGTGGTGATAACTTTTAGGATAAATCCTTTTACTTATCTCTGCTTGTAAGAAAAACTAACAATGGGAGTAACTTAGTTTTTAGTGTAACTTTAAGGCAAGAATGATAATAGTCCTTTCCCCAAACTAAACCTTGAGGATATAAAGAGGGCGTACACACAAATAAAAATGTTATGCTAAAGTTTTGTAAGAGCACTGTGACCGGATCAAGAACAAAGAAGTTTCACAATCTCTTCAGACCCTCACTGCTGCATAGATGTTTGTGGTCATCAATCATATCTTGACCTCAACCTCCTCCCTCTTTCCTCTTCCCCTAACATAAAAGGTATCTAAAATTCATATTAAGATGGTTCTTTAGGATGGAAGTCCACCATCTTCTCGTTTTGCTGGCTTTCTAAATAAAGTCAACTCTTTGCTCCATCAACTAGTCCCTTGACTTATTGGCTGCCATACAGTGAGCTGTAAAAGTTTTGACTTGGTTACAATATAGTATTTTTATTTTGGAGAAAAAATCCAAACTGATTTCCCATTTTTTCAACTTTTAATTAAAAATTATAAAATTAACTTTAACGGTTTGCTCATGTAATCAGAATTTACTGCTTCTCTTTACTGGTAATTTTAAAAGAGTAAAATTAATTTTTATAGAAAAATCTACCATATGAAGTAAGAACATAATTATATTTTATGTGTTAAATTATATATTGTTACAGAAATATGTTTATTAAACTTTATATATGTAGAGAAAATTCAGAGTTAATTTTAGGCCTTTAATTTGTTTAAAGTTATAAATAGAAAAATCTAATTTGCATTAATAGTAATCTTTATCCTCTTACCAGTAGTAAAATATTTCCACAAAATTCCAAAGTAATCTTGAATGTTAGTAAACATTGTAAAATTAGTAATAAAGGTGTTTATTGGCTTATGAAAGTAAATAAAATAAATATTTAGATTCCATTAAAGTACTTATAATATGCACCACATGGATTCAAGTCTCATTTCTACTCTCATTTTTTCTCTTTGCCATTCAGTGTCCCCATCTGTCCCATGCAGATCCTACATTACAGCTGCAGCCTCATGGCTACCTCTTAATTAACTGCCTCTGTGACTAATGTAAGTAATTTTTCTTCTTCACAAAAATTAATTTAATAAAATTTACAAGAAAAATTTAATAAATGAGCTATAAACCTAAAGTTAAAAATTTTAAGCATTCTATGGAGTCAAACTTAGAGCTTAAGATACATTGTTGTGTTTTTTTAGTTGATTGTAATACATTGCTGATAAATGTTTCATTATTATTATTATTGTTATTTAAACTTTGTTTCAGTGACCGTATTTTTGAGGTATACCTCCCCACAAACAAATAAATAACCTATAAATATTTCCACAAAATTTTTAAGATATTTTTATTTATTTATTTTTAAGATATTTTTATGTGAAAATAATAGATTACTTAGGGGTGTCTTCTGTAAAGGACTTTTCCCATACCTTAGCTGACATATCGTGCTGGGTATTTTATTAAACATTGTTTTGTAGCCTATATATCTACTAGAATACTAGGTATTTTCATTTTGGTCTATTGTCATCCCATCATGACAAGTATTTGGGGTTTACTATAAAAAACTATAGCCTTCTGGATAAGAAAAGTATCCATTTGATTGTCCAAGGTAATGCTAACATCCAGCGGCTTCACTAGGTTAATTGGAGGTCTTGCCTAATGCTGCAGTAAATATACAGTAGATAGCTCTCTAAATTGCTTAATTGAGAAAGTAATGTAAAAGATACAATGAAATGCATTTGTCATTGGAATTATCTGTGATGCTTCAAAATAAATCTAATATCATCTATGAGCACATTATTCACACAAGGGAAAACATATTGCTTTCAAATTCCTAATATTGTCCTAAAGAAGGGTGGTGAATTATCTTCCTTGTTACTCATGCCTCTGTAAAGCTGTGCATGTCTGTGGTTACAGTGATTGCAGAAATAATAATGGTGATAATAAAGTGCAATTTTTGAGCTGCCTTTGAAGACAGCAAGGCAGTCCTTTCACAATACATCTTTGAAAAAAATTATCTTGTCCATTACCTATTCCAAGTTCTGGCTTCCTAATTTCTCCCTCCTTTTGATGTTTCTCATTCTTCTAGCTTTCTTTTATTTCACACAGTTTAAATACTTACTTAAAAATATAGCCAATTAGATTTTCTGAAACAAATCCTTAGTGACTTTCTAATTGAAACTTTATTTTCATTAAGGGGAATAGTAGACAAATATTCACTATGTAAATACCTAATGGATACTGTTCTTGCATTAGTTGTATTAACAGCAAAAGCTACTTGTTTCCCCACTTGAATGCTTTTCTTCAAGGCTAATTTGCAAAAATCATTAAATGTGGGTATGAAAACTTGTAAAACATTCCTTCATCAACTAGCATCCATTTATTTGTCACTGCATTAATTATAATCCCTCACATTATTTATTCTAATTTCTTATTTCCTCTAAGAAAATCAACACTTTTGTATATACTTTTTATTCTTTCCCCATTGTTTTTAATCTAAATTCACAAAGAAGTTTTTTTAAAAATATGTTTTAAAATTTAAGTACACTCACTACTACCATGATATATACAAAAGCTGCCTATTATGTATAATTGTTTTTGGCAAAAGCAAAATAAGTTAATGTGTATATTATATCTGAGAAAGTAATATAAGCATCAAATAATTAAAAACTAATTATCTTAATTTCAAAACAAGTCCCTTTTTACTTCTCTTTAAGACAAATTCAAAAATATGATACAAATACAAGCTACTATAATTATCCACATTGTATAATCTTTTTCAGTTTTATTTAGGTATGAGTGATAAATAAATATTGCATGTATTTCAGATATACTGTGCAATATTTTGATATATGTGTACATTGTAAAAGGACTCCCAATCAAGCTAATTAAACTATCTCTTACTTATCTTTTTGGGGGGGTGCAAGGGAGAGAGGGGAAGAACATTCTATATCTACTCCCCAGCAACTTTCAAATGTACAATACGTTATTATGAACTATAGTGATGATGTTGTAAATTAGGTCTCCAGAACTTAGTCACTTATAAATAAAAGTTTTTATCCTGTGAACCACATGCCTCCTGCGACCACCATTTACTCTCTATGAATCCAAATTTTTATATTGCACATATAAGTGAGATCACACAATATTTTTCTCTCTGTGTCTGGCTTATTTCACTTAAAATAATGTCCTCCAGGTTTATACAGGTCACAAATGTCAGAGTTTCCTTTTTTTTAAGGCTGAGTTGTATTCCATTGTGTTCAGACACTGCATATTCTTTATGTATTCATTCATTGACCAGTTCTTAGAATTTTCTATATTATGGCTATTGTGAGTAATACTGCAATGAACATGTGAGTGCAGATATGTTGTCAAAATACTGATTTCATTTCTTTTGGGTGTATACTACATCATGAGATTGCTGTGTCTTATGATGGAAACACTTCTGGTTTTTTGAGGAACCCCTATATTGTTTTCTATGATGGCTTTACCAAATAACAACACTACCAATAGTGTACATGGGTTTACTTTTCTCTAAATTTTCACTAACTTTTTATTTTACTTTTTAAATAACAGTCATCCTCACAGATGTGAGGAGACATCTCAATATGGATTTGATGTGCATTTCCCTGCTGAATAGTGATGTTGAAGATTTCTTCAGATATCTGCTAGCCTTTTGCATATCTTCTTTCGAGAAATGTCTTTTCAGGTCATTTGGCTATTTTTAATTGGTTTATTTGTTTTCATTTTTGCTGTTGAGTTGTATGAATTCTTTATGTCTTTTGCATATTAGCCCTTCATCAGATAGATGGTTTGAAAATATTTTGTGACCTTTGATAGGTTGTCTTTTTATTTTGTTGTTTACTTTATTGTGCAAAAACTTTTTAGTTAGATGTAGCTCCATTTGTTTGCTTTTTATTTTGTTACATGTGCTTCTGGTGTCATATCCAAACAAACTATTGCCAAGACCAATAGTAAGAAGATTTTCTTCTGGAATATTGATAATATCATGACATATTTAAGTCTATAGTCTATTTGAGTTGATTTATGTGTATAGTGTAAGATAAGAATCCAATTTCAATTTTATTATGGCTATCCGGTTTTTCCAATACCCTTTACTAAAGTGACTACAAGCATACTTCATTTTATTGTACTTCACAATACTGATTTTTTTTTTAACAAATTGAAGGTTTGTGACAACCCGGTGTCATTCAATTTTATTGGCATTATTTTTCCAACAATATATGCTCACTTTGTGTTTCTGTGTCACAGTTTCGTTATTTTTTAAATATTTAAACTTTAAAAAATTATTATATTTGTTATGGTGACCTGTGATTACTGATCTTTGATGTTACTATTGTAGTAGTTTTGGGCATCACAAACTCTACCCATAAAAGATGACAAACTTAATTGATAGAGACTGTATGTGCTTTGACTATTGTACTAACCAACCATTCCCCATTTCTCCCTCTTCTTGGGCCTCCCTATTCCCTGAGATACAACAGTATTGAAATTAGCCCAATTAATAACCTTCTAATGGCCTCTAAGTGTTCATGTAAAAGAAAGAATTTCATATCCCTCACTTTAATCAAATGCTTGAAAAAATCATTAGGCTTACAGAGAAATGCATGTAGAAACATAAGATAGGCCAAAAGGCAAGCCTCATGTGCCAAACAGTTACCCAAGCTGTGTATGCAATAGAGAGATTTTCAAAGGAAGTTAAAATGAGACTCTAGTGGACACATAAATTATAAGAAAGCAAAACAGTCTTCTTGCTGTTATGGAGAAAGTGAGTGTTCTGGATAGAAGATCAAACCAGACACAACATTTCTTTAAGCCAAAGCCTACTTCAGGTCAAGGGCCTAACTCACTTCAAACCTGTGAAGGTTGAGAGATGTAAGAAAGATACAGAAGAAAAATTTGATACTAGCAGAGGCTGGTTCAAGAGTTAACATACCATTAAATCTCCATAACATACAAGTGCAAGGTGACATTTCACCTGTAAAAACTCATATAAACTAAAAATAAAGACATGGGAAAAGATACTCTATGCAAATGGAAGCCAGAAAAGAGCAGGAGTAGCTATACTTATATTAGGTAAAATAGGCTTCAAGAAAGAAACTGTAAAAAGAGACAAGGAAAGTCATCATATAATGATAAAAGGGTCAAATCAGCAAGAAAATGTAGCAATTGTATATGTGTGTATATATATATATGCACCCAAAGCTGGAGTACTCAGATATATAAAGTAAATATTATTAGACCTAAAGAGAGAGATAGACCCAATACAATAATAGCTAAAGACTTAATAACCCCACTTTCACCTTAGATAGATCATCCAGGCAAAAGATCAACAACAAAGACACCAGATTTAATCTGCACTATGGACCAAATGGACCTACAAGACATTTAAATAATATTTTCCCAAACAGTTGCAGAATACACATTATTCTTCTCAGCACATATATTCATTCTTAAGGACAGACCATATGTTAAGCCACAAAAAAACCCAAACTTAAAAAATTCAAAAAAAGTGTCTTCTCTGACTACAATGGGAAGAAAACTAGAAATAAACAAGAAGAGAAGTTTTTGAAACTATACAAACACATGGAAATTAAACAATATGCTCCTGAATGACCAGTGGGTTAATAATGAAATTAAGAAAAAAATTTTAAAACTTCTTGAAACAAATGAAAATGGAAAGAGAGCATACCAAAGCCTATGGGATACAGAGAAAGTGGTACTAATAGGAAAGTTTATAGCAATAAACACCTACATAAAAAAATTAGAGAAACTTCAAATAAACAACCCAGGGATGCATCTTAAGGAACTAGAAAAGAAAGAGAAAGCCAAGCCCAAAATTAATAAAATGAAAGAAATATTAAAAATATTAAAAATCAGAGCAGAAATAAGTAAAATTGAAGCAAAAACAAAACAAAAGGTCAAAGAAATGAAAAGATCATTTTTTGAAAAGTTAAAACTGACAAAACTCGAGCCAGATTAACAAAGACAAATAAATTTAAAAAATCAGAGATGAAAAACAGGTAATTACAGCTGATATTGCAAAATTCAAGGGATCACTGGAGACTACTTTGAGCACGTATATGCCAATGAATTGGAAAACTTAGAAGAAATAGATATATCCCTAGACATACAATCTACCAGGATTGAGCCATGAAAAATTCAAGACCTGAATAGACCAGTAAGTAATGAGATAGAAGTTGTAAAAAGAAATAAGTAAATAATCCCCCAGAAGAGAAAAGCCTGGGACCCAATTGTTTCACTGCCAAGCTTTATCAAACATGTGAAGTAGAAATAATACCAGTTCTACTCAAATATTTTTAAAAATTGGGGAGAAGAAATAGTTTCAAACTCATTCTGTGAAACCAGTTTTATACTGATAACAAAACCAGACAAAGACACGTCAGAATGTGTCCCTAGTGAATATTGGAAAAATCTTCAAGAAAATACTAGCAAATTAAATTAAACAATAGTATAAAAAGAAGTCCATCATGACCAAGTGAGATTTATTCCAAGAATGCAAGTGGGGTTTGCCATACACAAGCCAGTCAGTGTGATACATAATAGCGATGAAATGAAGAACAAAAACCATATAACCATTTTAATTGATACTGAAAAAGTATTTTATAAAATTGAACATCTCTTTATTATAAAAACTCTTTAAAATGGCTATAGAAGAAACATACTTCACCACAATAAAGCCATGTATGACAAACCCACAGCTAGCATTATACCAAAAAGAAAAAACCTGAAAGGCTTTCCGCTAAGTTCTGGAACAATACAAAGATGCACCTAGTCACCAGTGTAGTTTAACACAGTAGTGGAAATCCTAGGAAAAGCAGAGAAGAGAGAGAAATAAAAGACATCCAAATTGTAAAAGAAAAAGTCATTTAAGATTTCTTGAGTTATACTCCACAAGCACAGGCAACCAAAGCCAAATTGAACAAATGGGGTCACATCATGTTAGAAAGCCTCTGCAAGGCAAAGAAAATAATTCACATGGTGAAGTGATAACCCACAGAAAGGGAGAAAACATTTGCAAACTATCTTCTACAAGGGATTAATAACCAGAATATAGAAGGAGCTCAAAAAATTCAATAGGAAAAACTCCAGTAATCCAATTAAAAAATAAGCAGAAACTCTGAATGTACATTTATAAAAAGAAGACATACAAATGGCTAACAGATGTATGAAAATAAGCTCAACATCATTGATCATCAGAGAAATGCAAATCAAAATACAATGAGATATCATTTTACCCTAGTAAAAATGGCTTTAATCCAAAAAACAGGCAATAGCAAATTTTGGTTAGGAAGTGAAGAAAAGCAAACCCTCATACACACTTGATGAGAATGTAAATTAGTACAGCCACTATGAAAAACAGTATGGCATTCCCTCAAAAAACTGAAAATAGGACTACAATATGATCCAGCAATCCCACTGCTAGGTATATACCCCAAGGAGAGGAAATCAATATATTGAACAGATATCGACACTCCCTATTTATAATAATCCTATTGAAGCCCTACTCATAATAGTCCAGATTTGTAAGCAACTTAAGTGTTCATCAACAAATCAATCAATAAAAAACTGTGGTGCATATACACAATGGAGTACCATTTAGCCATAATGAAGAATGAGATCATGTCATTTGCAACATCATGGATTGGACTAAAGGTCATTATGTTAAGTGAAATAAGCCAGGCAAAAAAGACAAACTTCACATGTTCTCACTCATTTATGGGGGTTACATATTGTTTTAATATTTAATATTATAATCATGAGGATAGAGAGTAGAATGATGGTTACCAGTATCTGGGAAGGGTAGTGGACCTGGGAGGAGTTAGTGGGGGTGATTAATGGGTACAAAAATATAGTTAGCATAAATAATATCTAGTATTTGATAGCACAACAGGGTAATTACGGTCAAAACATATTGTACAATTTAAAATAACTGAAAGAGTATAATTGGAATGTTTGTAACACAAAGAAAGTACAAATGCTTGTGGTGAGATGAATAACCCATTTATCCTGATGTGATTATTATGTATTGTATGCCTGTATCAAAATATCTCATGTACTCTATAAATATATACAGCTACTATATAACCATAAGCATTTTTTAAAGGGCAAGGTGAAACAGCAAGCAGTGATGTGGAAGCTACAGAAAATAATCTGTAATATCTAAGTAAGATCATTAATGAAGGTGTCTATACTTTTCAATGGAGACAAAATTGGCTTCTGTTGGAAGAAGATGCCACATAGGACTTTCCTGGCTATAGAGGGGAAGTCAATGTTTGGCCTTAAAGCTTCAAAGGACATGCTTACTCCCTTGTTAGGTCCATTCTGTAGCCAGTGCATCAAGAAGTAATTTTGACTTTTAAGTCTCATTATTTAAGAAATACTTTCATAAGGCTATAGCTGCCATAGATAGTCATTTATCTGATGGATCTGGGCAAAGTCAATTGAAAATCTTCTGGAAAGAAATCACCATTCTAGATGCTATTATAAACACCTATAATTTGGAGAAGAGGCCAAAATATCCACATTAACAGGAGTTTAGAAGAAGTTGATTCTTACCCTTATGAATAACTTTGAGTAGTTCAGGACTTCAGTGGGAAAAGTAATTGCACATGTGGTGGAAAGACCAAGAGAACTAGAATTAGAATGGAGCTTGAAGATGTGACTGACTTGCTACAATGTCATGATAAAACTTGAACAAATGAGGAGTTGCTTTTTATAGAAGAGCAAAAAAAAGTAGTTTCTTGAGATTAAATATACACCTTGTGAAGATGCTGTGAAAATTTTGAAATTACAACAAAGGATTTAGAATATGAATTAAATTTGATGAAGCAGTGTCAGGGATTGAAATAATTGACTTCAATTTTGTAAGTAGTTCTACTTTGAGTAAAAAACTATTAAACAACATCACATGATAGACTAAAATCTTTCATGAAAGGAAGGGGTCTATTCATGTGGCAAATTTCATTGTTGTCTTGCTTTAAGAAATTGTCACAGCCACCCCAGCCTTCAGCAGCCATCACCCTGATAAGGTATCAGCCATCAATTTTGAGGCAAAACTCTATATACTGGCAAAAAGTTTATGACATACTGAAGGCTCAGAGGAACATTAGCATTTTTAGCAATATTTTTAAATCGAAATAAGTATTTTTAGACAATGCTTTTGCATACTTATAGACTATGGTATAATATAAATATAACTTTTATATACACTGGGAAAGAAAAGATTCATGTGATTTATTTTATTGTGATATTTACCTCATTGCAGTGGTCTGGAACTAAATCCGTATCTCTCCAGGATATGCCTGTATCTTTAACTTATTGCATATTTTTGGTATCTTTGTTGAGTATTAGTTGACTATGTATGGGTGGGTTTATTTCTGGTCTCTGTATTCTGTTTTGATTACTATATCTTTGTAAAATAATTTGAACTCAGGGTGATGCCTTTGGCTTTGTTCTTCTTAGTATTGATTTAGCTATTTGAGGTGTTTTCTGGTTCCTTAGGAATTATACACTTATCTTTCTTATTTATATGACAAATGCCTTTTGAATTTTTAATGGTATTGCATTCAATCTATAGAGCTTTGGATAGCGTGGGCTGTTTAACAATATTGGTTCTTCTGATCCATAGATGAAAATATTTTTCCCTTAATTTGTGTCTTCTTCAATTTCTTTCATTGATATCTCATAGAGTTGGTGTACATATCTTTCACTTCCTTGGTTAAATTTATTCTTAAGTGTACTTTTATGCTATTGTAAATCAGATTCTTTATTTCTGTTTTTTTGGATAGTTTATTGTTGCTATATGGAAATGCTACTGACTTTTGAATGTTGGTTTTGTATCCTGCAACTTTGCTGAATTCATTTATTAGTTCTAACTACTTTTGGTGGAGTCTTACTATATACAAGATTATGTCATATGCAAACTGAGACAATTTTCACTTTTTTCTTTCTGATTTAAATGCCTTTTATTTGTTTATTGCCTAATTGCTCTGGCTATTCCTATATTGGTTAGGAGTGGCGAGAATGGACATCCTTGTATCATTCTTGATCTTAGAGGAAATTTCACTATTAAATGTGAAGTTAGCTATGACCTTTTCTTAAATGCCATTTATTATCATGAGGTTCAGTTTTTACAGATAATATTTTGAGAATTTTTATCAGGAAAGATTATTGAATTTTGTCAAACGCTTTTCTGCATTGCTTGAGATGATCATGTTTGTCTTTCATTCTGTTAATGTGGTGTATCGTATTTATTGATTTGCATATGTTAAAGCATCCTTGCATCCCTGAGATAAAGTCCACTTGGTCATGATGTATGATCATGTTCAGTTGCTATTTAATTTGGTTTGCTAGTATTTTGTTGAGGATTTTTATACCTATGCTCATCAGATATATTGGCTTACAGTTTTCTTTTCTTGTATTGTTCTTCTCTATCTTAGATGTTGGTATAATCTCTTGCTTACTGCAGTTATTCATTTGTAAGCACAGATGAGAATACATTTTTTGGGCAGAATATTTCACTACTAATAGAGTTACTATAGACAAGTCCAGAGAAGATTTTAAAAACTTCAGCTTAGGTGGTGAACTGAAAAATAAGTTTAAAACCCACCACAATGTTCACCATACTGTGCATACAGACACACACACACACACACACACACACACACCCTAAAACCAAAATAGCAAGAAAAATCAAAACAAATAAACCCACAAAGCTTTTTAAAGCCAATTACCTCATTTTAGTTGCCAAAATGAATCAGAAGTTTTCTAGTCAAGAAAAAAATGTAGTTGACAAATTATTATGTTCTATGTAATATTTTACATACTTTACATTTACCATCTTAATGACATGTACAGACTGTTTTAAAAAGTGTTTAAGAAAGGAGATTTAATAAAACTACATTTTTTAACATTATGAATTTTTTTAGATACTTAAATTTACCATTAGCCTCATTAGAACTAAAGTTCAGGGCTCCAGTTTATTTTTTTCTTCACTATCTTATCCCTTTCACCAAGTGCCCAGGACATTGAAAGTGGTGATAATTGTTGAAGGAAGTAATATAAAACCAGGTTAATATATCATAGTCAAATTTAATAACACCTATAATTATTATACATATTTTCCACTAAAAGGTTTAATTTTGATTGAATGTTTTCTATTTCAAACTCCATCTTCAATTAGTTTTTATATAAATGACATTCATTCTCAAAATTCCAGGCAAATAGATTTTAACACACTGCTCATTCAAGGGTCAGAACTCCATTTGATGATAAGACTACCACTGTAGCATTGGATGTGAAGAGCAATATTTGAAAAAGAGATGTGAATACTCCCATCAGACAATGAAAAGTAAAGGAAGAAAATGTATTGAACATTTATTGAACCACTGATAATATTTACTGGTGCATTTAAAGAAATGATTTAACCAATTTATTTCCTTACAGCCACAGAATGAGATGCAAGCTGTTATTCTTGTTTTATACATAAGAAAACTGTGACTTAGAAAAGTGAAAAGTCATACAAGTACTTAAGTGGTGGGTTTGGATTCAAGCTCTTGAGTGACTTCAAGCCCAGGACTTATTCAAATTTTGCATTGGTGTTATGCTACACGTTTCTTTCCAGATTAAAAGAAAACAGTTTTATAAACGGTATACATTCTGTTTTGATTCTCTATGCCATTAATATCTTCTGCCAGTATTTGTTAAAAAAACTCAGCCTCAATGTCAAAGTTTCTTGAATTTTTAATGATTTCCTATATACAAGTTTATGTCATATGCAAACTGAGATGATATTTTAAATAAAACTCTGCCTATTTTATTACTCAGTATACATTCATAACCTTCTTGTACTATAATTATTTAATCATCCATACATATCTCTATCAAATTTTGTTCTGTTTAAACTATAAGTTAAAAAAAATTGTATTTACTTCCTATGTTCCTTCTTTTTGTCTGTCTCTTTCTATTTAGCTACTATAAGTTCAAATATTGACATTTTTGCAGGAGAATTTGTAATGTTTATGGAATAGATTCTTCTTTTAGGTCTGATATGCAAAGAGTTTGGAAATCATCACTCCCATTATAAAGCTAAGCGATCTGAAAATTGATCACTTTTCCTGGACTCCTCAGAGAGCTGAGTTTGCAGAGCAAACTGCCATCCGGAAATTTGGAGGGAGAGACAAATCTAGATAGTCACAGCTGAGATTTGCTTCCCTGGAGCAGAAATTACTTAACTATAAACTGGTAGAACTTTTAAATAGAAATACTGATACATTTTTGGAAACTAAGTATGGACTTGCTTGACAGTAAGAAACTGCTATGGTCACAGTTTGAAGGGGCCTTAGACATTCACGAATTTTTTCTCCAGGAATTTCCCTAGGGTTTTCAAGGTGAAGAGCCAAGAGAGTTCCCCTCATGGCTCTTTCAGGGGAAGGGAGGAGTAACCCTTGTTAAATGCGTTACCAGATAACTCTCCGGTAACGAAGCCTATGCTCCAGGATAAAAGTCTTTATCTTACCTGGAATAAAGGCATTTCCCTCATTCCAGACCCTTCTAGCCTTCCTCTCTTACTTAAAAGAGGAATCATTTGTGAAGGTCACAGCCCAGGGATACAGGCTCACTAAAAAACAGAAATTTAATTATAAGATTATACAATACTTATCTTTCTGCACACATTACCACTGCACCATCATCATTACGTCATAACAACAGTGGATTACAGCTGAAAAAGCTGCAAGGTGCCACCTCTATTTGAGGGGGAGCCTTAAGGAAGCCCAATGATTATATGAAGATTTAAAAAGAGGGATAGCAACAAAAGCACTTGAAGCCTCTGGCACCTAAAGCTACAGCAAATATTGAACGCAGAGCAACAACTAGCCAATCTAACAACAAACATCACAACAAAGGCCTATTTATGTCAGTTACTATTACATATGATGTAACAGTGACACAGGAAATTTTCCCTGACCCCTTCGTGGGCCTCGCCACAAGGGTGCCTCACTTGCTCAGCCTGCAGCTCTCAAGCCTTCACGGGAGGGGAAGCAAGCAGATGAGTGGATGCAGGAGCTGGGGCAAGGGCTTCTGGGCATCAGCAGGAGCAAAATTCCATACAGGCTCCATGGTAGCATCTAGGCAGGGAGTACCCATGATCCTCAAAGTCCTAGAAGGCAAATGCTACAGTGCATTCTTTTAGCTTTGCTGTCCGCAGATGGCTTAAGTGTTAAACAGCTCACTGGGTCCTCTGCCTTTTCATGTGAGGTGGTTGCTCTTCATTGGTGAGGAAAGAGGGTCAGTGTGACAGCCTTTAGCATCTGCACCCATGGCAACCAATCTTTTGTTTGGGGTTCAGGAAAACTCAGGTCATGTGAATGAATTGAACGATAGTAAATATGAAGACTTTATTGCCAATGAAAGTGACTCTCAGCTGGAAAGGAGATGGAGTGGGAAGGTATCCTTCCCCTGAAGTTCAGCTGTCTCTGGCCGACTCTTCTCCAAAGTCCTGCCATCAAGCTGTCCCTCCGAAGTCAGGCTGTTTCTCTTTGATGTTCAGCTGGTTCTTCTCTTCTCCCCATCTCTACTCTCTGACAGTGGAGCCTGGGTTTTTTATGGATACAGCATGGGGGGCAGGGAGGAACATGGGTGGTTTTTGAAAAGGCAACCATTGGAGCAGGAAAACAGGAATACATGTCCTCAATTTGTGCTACAGTTCTAGGCTTGAGCGTGGGCTTTGCCAGGTACCCCACTTTTTCCTGTCTAGAATTTTCCTGCCTTCTGTCCCAAACAATAGTAACTGATATAAACCATATTTATGTAATACTGTCAGACCATACACCATATATACCTTTAAACAAAAACAAAATTACAAATTTGCTAAAAAGAAAAGGGAAACAAAACACAACCTTAATGGACAAAATAAGCATCATCATTAGATTTAGATATAACATGGATTTTGGAATGATCAGACAGGGAGTTTCAAATAACCATGTTTAATATTATGACAGTAATGGGAAAAGTAGAAAAAATACAAGAAGAAATTCATGATTTTAGCAGAGAAACAGAAATTTTAAAGAAGAATCAAAAGGAAATGCTATAAATTAAAAGTAACAGAAATGAAAACACCTTTGATTTGCTCTCTGGTAGAATGACATGAGGAAAAAACACTATGCTTGAAGATATGTCAATAGAATCTTCCCAAATTGAAATGCAAAGAGAGATGTTGGAAATAAAGCTTGGAGTTGCAAAGAAAATGGACACTTAAACAAATAATTTCTCAGCAAGGCAAATTTACTTCTGCAGAAGGGTGCTTCTCACAAGTCTGGTTGTCCTGAGAGCACACTGAACAAAGGAGGGAAGGGGTTTTTATTTCTAAAGCAGCTTGTCCCTGCCAGCGTGTCCTGTCTCCTTTGGCTGGAGTTGGACCACACAATTTAAGCTGAACCTGGGTGGCTAACTTGAAAAGTGCAGGAATGTGGTTACACTGGAGAGAAGGACAGTTTTGGCAGGAAGGGCTGTTGTGATGGGAGAGGTAATTTATAGAGTGGTTAGCAGATGTGGGCTCTGTAGATAAGGACTGATGGGAGAGTTGTTTACTGAAACCAAGACAGGGAGGCACAAAGAGCAAGGAAGTTTGGCCTTGAAAGTAGAGAACAAAGAACAAGGAAACTAAACAAGCTAAACCTTTGAAGAGGAACTTTTTCTTGTATCTGAAAACTCCCCCCTTTTTAATTTTTATAAGTCTTCCTCTTCAAACCTTTTTAACACTTCTTGACTTTGTTGTTTTGCTTGGCCTTTTAAAAGAAAATGTTCATTTGAATAGGGAAGGGGGAATTGAGGGAGTTTTTGGTGAGAGCTGTTTTAATAAGTTTTTGTATTAATCTCCAGGCACAGGTTATGATAGCACATCCTATGAGAATAAGTACACCTATGACAATTGCAAGAGAGGTTAGGATTGAGGACATGAGCCCTTTCCATTTACCAAACCACCTTTCCATATAACTTGTGAAGGGGTCATTTGTCCTAGAATTTTTGGCCAGTTTATTTGATAGTGAGGTGAGACCTTGTAAAGTTTTTGGTAATTGTTCCATTGGAGCTGTGTTGTTGGGGATAAATATACAACATTCGATTTTGATCATAACACAGACTCCACCTTTTTTTTGCTAGTATCATGTTTAATGCTATTTTATTTTCCTAAGCCATTTGACTGATGGGTTTTAATTGTTCAGTGATTCCTTTAATAGCATCCTTGGTATAATTAACAAATTGTTGTTGATTGTAATATATGTAATTTGTCCAATCTACATTTTTATTTATTGTTGATCACCTGAACAACATGGACTCAAACCCTGTAGCTATTGGATTTTGAGCTTTAAATTCATTTGGACCTCTCATGGGACTCCAATAGCATCTATGTAAATGTGAGTGTTAAGTGATCTGGGTGGGGTGCTTCTTCTAACTCAGTGGTGATTTTCTTGCTTACTGTGAGAATAGGAATGCCAGGGTGAAAGAGATGGTCAATTGGACTAGAGCGTAAGTGCTGCTCCAATTATTTAGCATAGAACTCCACCATACCACCATACATCTGCTCGGGAGTGAACAAGGGCAGCTAGACTGCAAAGTCTTAGTTTCATTTCACTCTTTTAGGTCTCTGAGAGATGACAATTTCTCCCCCCTGTCATGAGAGACATGAGGTAAAATTAACATCCGAGGCTGTGGGCTTGATGGCTATCAGGGGCTGGCCGGCAGAGCCTTTGACTTCAGGAAATAGTAGTGAGAGTCTTGCACACCTTACTACCCCAGGATATGAGGTTTTGAAAGAGACTTACCATGCAGCTCATGCCCAATTGGTCAGAGGACCGTCCAAGTGGGAAAGGGACTATTTGAGCTTCTGGCCTGCCTGCTGTACAAGCATAACAGTCACTTTTATTTAATTTGTGAATAGAATATTTAATCCATTCCAACCAGGCATTTGTATCTTCATATCATGTTTCCATTGATAAAGTTTGTTCTAAATCTCTAATTTCTACAATGTTGACTAAGGTTTTGTTATTGGAAATAATAGCCGTTTGATCAAGAGAAGGTTCTGGGGAAGGAGAAAGGAAAGGGGGTGGAGGATCAATGAAGCTTATTTTAAAAGATCCTATTGGGTCTGTCCCGGATTGAAAATTAGCTCTTAGGCCATAGAAGTGACTTAGAGTGGGGTTAGTGTTGGTGGAGGTGGGGACAGTGTTGGAGATTTGCAGAGGATTACACTGATGAAGCTGACAATTAGAGGGAGTTACTCTTTTGGTAAAGTGGATTTAGGGTTTTCGATGAATGCAGCCTCTTCTTGGAGAGGTCCAGCCCTGATATTTGGTGGTCCAGATTACATCTCCCCAACCATAACAGAACCTTCACTCAGCGCTTCATGCAATTCTGGTACAAGTGTCACTATTATAGGCAGTTTTATTTATTCTAGAGGGGCAGAGATACTTGTCAATAGAGGATAGCTTTCTTTGGTTTTGGAGATCCCCACAGGGCAGAATGAGACAAGCATCAAAAGTGATAACTTGAAGTAGGCTTGATCTAGTTACATTAATAATCAGGTGACTAGCTGTAAAGTGAGAAAAGGTGACAGAATAATATAGTAGATATAAGAGGGTTAGGTTTTTCTTAGCTTTAGTTTGGTAGAGCTTTCCCCTGGAATGATGGCCCGTTATTCTGTAGGTGGTGACGCTTTCTTGACTCAGATATGATGAGTCCATCCTTTCTCTACTGTTCAGACTGTGCTTTCAGTGGTCAGGAGCACTAGGTAAGGTCCTTCCCAAGCTAGTTCGAGTTTTTCTTCTTTTTACCCTTTGATAAGGACGTGATCTCCAGGGGTGGCACCTGTGCTAGGAGACTTTTGGACTTAAGAGAAAGTGGAAGATAGATCGAGTATATAATTTTTGAGGGACTGATCTTTTGTTTCAAATGTAGGAGCATCAGTGGTAGATGTAAATAAGGCAGCCCATATATCACTTCATAAGGGAACAAGATGATATCTTTTCTAGGGGTGGTTTTGATTTTTAACAAGGCAATACGATGACATTTAATCCAGGGCAAATGGGTCTCTAGGACTAATTTTGTTAGGTGGCTTTTTAGAGCGTCGTTCATTTTTTTCTACTTTTCCTGAGGAAGAGGGATGCCAAGGGATATGGTATTCCCATTTTATGTCAAGCACCCGAGCTAACTTTTTAATCACATGTGCTGTGAAATGAGTTCCATTCTCTGAATTACTGTTTTCTGTTACTCAAAACCTGGGTATGATTTTTTAATTAATGCCTTAGCTCCAATACTGGCGGTTGCACTTGAGAAGGGGATAGCTTTTACCCAGTGAGTAAAGTGGTCTACTATTACCAATAAGTACTTCAGGTGACCAATTGGGGGCATTTTAGTGTAGTCAATTTGAACACTTTGGAATGGCCTTAGGCCTGGATCCCTTCCCCAGAGGGGTGATTTTTTTAAACTTTGCTTATTAGTATTCTTACATATCAAGCAACTGTTTGTAACCTGTTTGGCTAGGGTATAGATTCCTATACACCTATAAGCTCTGGAAACTGCGTCACACATAGCTTGGGGTCCCCAATTGGTTTCTTGATGTAGTTGAGACAAGACCTCCCTATTCTTCTTCAGAGGTCATAAGTGGAATGATTTCTTTCTTTTTCTCTCATTCAGAATATTCACTCTTAAAATGACCTACTCCTCCACATTTGAAACATTTATTTTGTCCTTCCACTCTTCCTATTTTTGGGTTCCCTGGCGCTGCCTTCTTATGCTCTTTGTATGGCCCGGCAAGTGGGGGCTTAAATTTTTTATCAGTCCTGGGCCCTGGGATACTTTGTTTAGATGCATGTGGGCCTTTGGGTGATGGAGAGTAGTATCAGTGGTCTCTATTTTCTGTGACCCCCTCTTGGAAAGTAGAGAGCATAATTTTTGCTTTTTTTTTGTTTTTTCTCATCCCTTCTTATATATACTTTTTGAGCTTCCCTTAGAAGTTCTATGGATTTATTTTTTTCAATTTTCTCTCTTTTGCAATTTTTTGAGATGTCTGGTCAACTATCAGTAACAAAATGAAGCTTTAACATTCCTTGCCCTGGACGATCTTCTATATCTAGGCCCACATATTTTCTCATTTTTTTTTAAGTCTATCTTAGAATTCTATGGGTCCTTCATCTTTCCTTTGTTGTATATCGAATACTCCAGGCAGGTTTTGGGTCAGGGGAACTGACTTCTGAATCTTGTTAATTATCATTTCCCTAAGGTCTTTCATATTTTTCTGTTGAGCTGCTTTATTGTCCCACTGGGGGTCTTGGGCTGGGAATTTTTTATCTGTTGCAGGAACATTTTGACCAGGAGGATGTTCACATTTCCAGACTACAATATTGGCCCCGCGAATCATGCTTCTTTCTTCCTCTGAAAAGAGGATGCCCAGGATGGATATTAACTCGGCCCAAATATACAGTTGTGGCCCCCAAAATGGATTAATTTGATCTGCTACCCCATAATGGTTACCTAACAATGGCTTGAGTTGTTTCTTTAAATTTTGGACTCCTGAGCTGGTTAAGGGTGTATTTTACACAGCCAATACCTCCTCCTCTAAGGGGCACTTCCCTTAAGGGGGAGAGGGTTGGGGCTGATTCCTTAGAGGTGAAGGGGAAAGGGAAGTTTTGGATATCCTTTTTACATTGTTCTATCTCACACTGGAGCTTTCCTGGGGGAGGCACATGCTCAAGCCTGTGGCTAGGGGAAGCATGGGGCATTGATTCAGGGTTATATGTTAGAGGAACTGAGTGAGGGGATTCCAGTGTGTCTGCTTGGGGCAGGGGATTTGGCGGAGGCAGGTGGTCTACTGGGTTCTAGATGTTAGTGGGCTGTTTGGGGGTAGAAATCTCACTCCTTTCAGAGGAGTTGGTTTCTGGCTTGCCCCCTATAGCCTTTAGGGGATAAAGGAGGACAGGTCCTTGCCACCAACACAGGACATCATCTGTTTCCTCCTGGGAGATGGGACTTTTGTCATTGACATACTCTATTAAAAGTTGAAAAATCCGAGGGCTTCCGTTCCAAGATGGCCAAACAGGAACAGCTCCGGTCTGCAGCTCCCAGTGTGATCAACACAGAAGACAGGTGGTTTCTGCATTTCCAACTGAGGTACCTGGTTCATCTCATTGGGACTGGTCAGAAAGTGGGTGCAGCCCATGGAGGGTGAGCTGAAGCAGGGCGGGGCATCGCCATACCTGGAAAGCGCAAGGGGTCGGGGGACTTCCCTTTCCTAGCTAAGGGAAGCCTTGAAGACTATACCAGGAAAATCGGGACACTGCTACCTAAACACCTTGCTTTTCCAAAGGTCTTAACATATGGCACACCAGGAGATTACATCCTGCGCCTGGCTCAGAAGGTCCCACGCCCACGGTGCCTTGCTCACTGCTAGTCCAAGATCGAACTGGGAGGCTGCAGGCGTGGCTTGGGGAGGGGCGTCCACCATTGCTGAGGCTTGAGTAGGTAAACAAAGTGGCCGGGAAGCTCGAACTGGGTGGAGCCCACCACAGCTCAGTGAGGCCCGCCTGCCTCTGTAGACTGCATGTCTGAGGGCAGGGCATAGCTGAACAAAAGGCAGCAGAAACTTCTGCAGACTTAAACATCCCTGTCAGACAGCTCTGAAGAGAGCAGTGGTTCTCCCAGCATGGTGTTTGAGCTCCGAGAATGGACAGACTGCCCCCTCAAGTCGGTCCCTGACCCCCCGTGTAGCCTAACTGGGAGACATGTCCCAGTAGGGGCCGACTGACACCTCATACAGCTGAATGTCCCTCTGAGATGAAGTTTCAGAGGAAGGATCAGGCAGCAATATTTGCTGTTCTGCAATATTTGCTGCTCTGCAGCCTGTGCTGGTGATACCCAGGCAAATAGGGTCTGGAGTGGACCTCCAGCAAACTCCAACAGACCTGCAGCTGAGGGACCTGACTGTTAGAAGGAAAACTAACAAACAGAAAGGAATAGCATCAACATCGATAAAAAGGACATCCACACCAAAACACCATCTGTAGGTCACCATCATCAAAGACCAAAGGTAGATAAAACAATAAAGATGGGGAGAAAGCAGAGCAGAAAAGCTGAAAATTCTAAACACCAGAGCACCCATTCTCCTCCAAAGGATTGCAGCTCCTTGCCAGAAATGGAACAAAGCAGGAAGGAGAATAACTTTGAGGTGTTGAGAGAAGAAGCCTTCAGAAAGTCAGTAACAACAAACTTCTCAGAGCTAAAGGAGGATGTTCAAACCCATCGCAAGGAAGCTAAAAACCTTGAAAAAAGATTAGACAAATGGCTAACTAGAATAAACAGTGTAGAGAAGACCTTAAATGACCTGATGGAGCTGAAAACCATGGCACGAGAACTACATGATGCATGCACAAGCTTCAGTAGCTGATTCAATCAAGTGGAAGAAAGGGTATCAGTGATTGAAGATCAAATTAATGAAATGAAGTGAGAAGAGAAGTTTAGAGAAAAAAGAGTAAAAAGAAATGAACAAAGCCTCCAACAAATATGGGACTATGTGAAAAGACCAAATCTACGTTGGATTGGTGTACCTGAAAGTGATGGGGAGAATGGAACCAAGCTGGAAAACACTCTTAAGGATATTGTCCAGGAGAACTTACCCAACCTAGCAAGGCATGCCAACATTCAAATTCAGGAAATAGAGAGAGCACCACAAACATACTCTTCGAGAAGAGCAGCCCCAAGACACATAATTATCAGATTCAGCAAAGTTGAAATGAAGGAAAAAATGCTAAGGGCAGCCAGAGAGAAAGGTTGGGTTACCCACAAAGGGCAGCTCATCAGACTAACAGCTGATCACTCAGCAAAAACTCTACAAGCCAGAAAAGAGTGGGAGCCAATATTCAACATTCTTAAAGAAAAGAATTTTCAACCCAGAATTTCATATCCAGCCAAACTAAGCTTCATAAGTGAAGGAGAAATAAAATCCTTTACAGACAAGCAAATGCTGAGAGATTTTGTCACCACCAGGCCTGCCTTATAAGAGCTCCTGAAGGAAGTGCTAAACATCGAAAGGAACAACCAGTACCAGCCACTGCAAAAACATACCAAATTGTAAAGACCATCGATGCTAGGAAGAAACTACATCAACTAATGTGCAAAATAACCAGCTAACATCATAATGACAGGATCAAATTCACACATAACAATATTAACCTTAAATGTAACTGGGCTAAATGCCGCAATTAAAAGCCACAGACTGGCAAATCTGATAAAGAGTCAAGACCCATCAGTATTCAGGAGACCCACCTCACGTGCAGAGACACACATAGGCTCAAAACAAAGGGATAGAGTAAGATCTACCAAGCAAATGGAAAGGGAAAAAAAAGCAGAGGTAAAACAGACTTTAAACCAAAAAACATCAAGAGTCAAAGAAGGCCATTACATAATGGTAAAGGGATCAATTCAACAAGAAGAGCTAACTATCCTAAATATATATGCACCAAATACAGGAGCATACAAATTCATAAAGCAAATCCTTAGAGACATATAAAGAGACTTAGACTCCCACACAATAATAGTGGGAGACTTTAACACCCCATGTCACTATTAGACAGATCAACGAGACATAAGATTAACAAGGATATCCAGGACTTGAACTGAGCTCTGCACCAACCAGACCTAATAGACATCTACAGAACTCTCCACCCCAAATCAACAAAATATACAATCTTCTCAGCACCACATTGCACTTATTCCAAAATTGACCACGTAGTTGGAAGTAAAGCACTCCTCATCAAATGTAGAACAGAAATCACAACAAGCTGTCTCTCAGACCACAGTGCAATCAGATTAGAACTAGGATTAAGAAACTCACTCAAAACCGCACAACTACATGGAAACTGAACATCCTACTCCTGAATGACTACTGGGTAAATAACAAAATGAAGGCAGAAATAAAGATGTTATTTGAAACCAATGAGAACAAAGAAACAACGTACCAGAATCTCTGGGACACATTTAAAGCAGTGTGTAGAGGGAAATTTATAGCACTAAATGCCCACAAAAGAAAGCAGGAAAGATCTAAAATTGACACCCTAACATCACAATTAAACGAACTAGAGAAGCAAGAGCAAACAAATTCAAAAGCTAGCACAAGGCAAGAAATAACTAAGATTAGAGCAGAACTGAAGGAGATAGAGACACAAAAAACCCTTCCAAAAATCAATGAATCCAGGAGCTGATTTTTTGAAAAGATCAACAAAATTGATAGACTGCTAGCAAGACTAATAAAGCAGAAAAAGAGAAGAATCAAATAGACAAAATAAAAAATGATAAAGGGGATATTATCTCCGATCCCACAGAAATACAAACTACCACCAGAGAATACTGTAAACTCCTCTACTCAAATAAACTAGAAAATCTAGAAGAAATGGATAAATTCCTGTGCACATACACCCGCTGACGACTAAACCAGGAAGAAGTTGAATTTGAAGACCAATAACAGGCTCTGAAATTGGGGCAATAATTAATAGACTACCAAGCAAAAAAACTCCAGGGCCAGATGGATTCACAGCCGAATTCTACCAGAGGTACAAAGAAAAGCTGGTGCCATTGCTTCTGAAACTATTCCAATCAATAGAAAAAGAGGGAATCCCAACCCCAACCCTGTGATCTCTGAAACATGTGCTGTGTCCACTCAGGGTTAAATGGATTAAGGGTGGTGCAAGATGTGCTTTGTTAAACAGATGCTTGAAGGCAGCATGCTCCTGAAGAGTCATCACCACTCCCTAATCTCAAGTACCCAGGGACACAAACACTGCGGAAGGCCTCAGGGTCCTCTGCATAGGAAAACCAGAGACCTTTGTTCACTTGTTTATCTGCTGACCCTCCCTCCACTATTGTCCTATGACCCTGCCAAATCCCCCTCTGTGAGAAACACCCAAAAATGATCAATAAAAATAAATAAATAAATAAATAAAAAGAAAAAGAGGGAATCCTCCTTAACTCATTTTATGAGGCCAGCATCATCCTAATACCAAAGCCTGGCAGAGGCAACAAAAAAAGAATTTTAGACCAATACCTCTGATGAACATTGATGTAAAAATCCTCAATAAAATACTGGCAAACTGTATCCAGCAGCACATCAAAAAGCTTATCCACCAAGATCAAGTTGGCTTTATCCCTGGGATGCAATGTGTGCAAATCAATAAACATAATCCATCACATAAACAGAACCAAAGACAAAAACCACATGATTATCTCAGTAGATGCAGAAAAAACCTTCAAAATGATTCAAGAGCCCCTCATGCTAAAAACTCTCAATAAACTAGGTATTGGTGGAACGTATCTCAAAATAATAAAAGCTATTTATGACAAACCCACAGCCAGTGTCATACTGAATGAGCAAAAGCTGGAAGGATTCCCTTTGAAAACTGGCACAAGACAGGGATACCCTCTCTCACCACTCCTATTCAACATAGTATTGGAAGTTCTGACCAGGGCAATCAGGCAAGAGAAAGAAATAAAGGGTATTCAATTAGGAAAAGAGGAAGTCAAGTTGCCCCTGTTTGCAAAAGACATGATTGTATATTTAGAAAACACCATCATCTCAACCCAAAATTTCCTTAAGCTGATAAGCAGCTTCAGCAAAGTCTCAGGATACAAAATCAATGTGCAAAAACCACAAGCATTCTTATACACCAATAACAGACAAACAGAGAGCCAAATCATGAGTGAACTCCCATTCACAATTGCTTCAAAGAGAATAAAATACCTAGGAATGCAACTTACAAGCGATGTGAAGGACTTCTTCAAGGAGAGCTACAAACCACTGCTCAACGAAATAAAAGGGGACACAAACAAATGGAAGAACATTCCATGCTCATGGATAGGAAGAATCAATATCGTGAAAATGGCCATACTGCCCAAGGTAATTTATAGATTCAATGCCATCCCCATCAAGCTACCAATGACTTTCTTCACAGAATTGGAAAAAACTACTTTAAAGTTCATATGGGAAGAATAAAGTGTCAGCATTGCCAAGACAATCCTAAGCCAAAAGAACAAAGCTGGAGGCATCACACTACCTGACTTCAAACTATACTACAAGGCTGCAATAACCAAAACAGCATGGTACTGGTACCAAAACAGAGATGTAGACCAATGGAACAGAACATAGCCCTGAGAAACAACACCACACATCTACAACCATCTGATCTTTGACAAATCTGACAAAAACAAGAAATGGGGAAACGATTCCCTATTTAATAAATGGTGCTGGGAAAACTGGCTAGTCATATGTAGAAAGCTGAAACTGGATCCCTTCCTTACACCTTATACAAAAATTAATTCAAGATGGATTGAAGACTTAAATGTTAGACATAAAACCATAAAAATCCTAGAAGAAAACCTGGGCAATACCATTCAGGACATAGACATGGACAAGGACTTCATGACTAAAACACCAAAAGCAAGGGCAACAAAAGCCAAAATAGACAAATGGGATCTAATTAAACTAAAGAGCTTCTGCACAGCAAAAGAAACTACCATCAGAGTGAACAGGCAACCTACAGAATGGGAGAAAATTTTTGCAATCTACCCATTTGACAAAGGTCTAATGTCTAGAATCTATAAAGAACTTAAACAAATTTACAAGAAAAAAACAACCCCATCAAAAAGTGGGCAAAAGATATGAACAGACACTTCTCAAAAGAAGATATTTATGCAGTCAACAGACACAGGAAAGAATGCTCATCATCACTGATCATCAGAGAAATGTAAATCAAAACCACAATGAGATACCATCTCACACCAGTTAGAATGGCGATCGTTAAAAAGTCAGGAAACTGCAGATGCTGGAGAGGATGTGGAGAAATAGGAACGGTTTTACACTGTTGGTGAGAGTGTAAACTAGTTCAACCATTGTGGAAGACAGTGTGGAAATTCCTCAAGGATGTAGAACTAGAAATACCATTTGACCCAGCATTCCCATTACTGGGTATATACCCGAAGGATTATAAATCATGCTACTATAAAGACACATGCACACGTATGTTTATTGCAGCACTATTCACAATAGCAGAGACTTGGAACCAACCATGTCCATCAATGATAGCCTGGATTAAGAAAATGTGCCACATATACACCAAGGAACACTATGCAACCACAAAAAAGGACGAGTTCATGTCCTTTATAGCTATATGTATGAAGTTGGAAACCATCATTCTGAGCAAACTATCACAAAAACCAAAAACCAAACACCACATGTTCTCACTTATAGGTGGGAACTGAACAATGAGAACACTTGGACACAGGGTGGGGAACATCACACATGGGGGCCTGTCATTGGGTGGGTGGTTGGGGGAGGTATAGCATTAGGGGTAAAACCTAATGTAAATGATGAGTTAATGGGTGCAGCAAACCAACGCAGCACATGTATACATATGTAACAAACCTGCACGTTGTGCACATGCACCCTAGAACTTAAAGTATAATAAAAATAAAAAAAAGTTGGCAAATCCAATCTTCATTTGACCAAAACATTGGCCAGAAAACTGAGGGTTTGAGGATGGGTCATTTGGTCCAAATGAAACAACAATATTTTATCATTTATCATTTGCTGTTTTTTTTTCTTATGTTTAGTCCTTTCATTATCCCTCCTTTATTTTAGCATGAGGTCTAGGGGACTGTCAGGGGGAATTTTATTATCCTCTTGACCCTTTTTATCTCCTGGGGTATTTACCTGGGGTATTTTCTATTTTGAAGGCTGCTGAGGCTCAATCCTTCGTATTAGGGATTTCTTGCCCTCTCTTCTCTAAAGACTGGCTGAGGCTTAATCCCTCATATTAGGAATTTTTTTACTTCCCTTGTCTTAGAGGCTTAACCCACCCAACTGGAGGTATCTTGATGTCCCAACCAAGGAACACTTTACTGCCCCCAAGGCTTTTGTTGCCTTGGAATGTCCTGACCAAGAAATACTTCATGACCTCCGTAGCTTTTCTTACCTTGGTCCTCATCAAGAAATACCTCACTGTCCCCATGGCTTTTCTTACCTTGGTCTGTGCACAGAGTTACCTGGTTGCCACATTATATTTGTGGGCCTTCTCTTCCTGTGTTGCTGAGTGTCTGGGTTTATTCGTCATGCCAGGTGGGTCTTGATCTCTTACCCCTGTGGCCATCACAGCGAGGCAGTGGGATGTGTCTCCTCATGAGAGATGATCAGAGACCCCACCTCAGAGGAGAATGGGTTGCCAGGCGGATCCCCAAAGTTGTTGGAAATAAAGCTTGGAGTCGCAAAGGAAACAAGCACTTAAACGAAGGATTTCTCAGCAAGGCAAATTTACTTCTGCAGAAGGGTGCTTCTCACAGATCTGGTCACTCCGAGAGCACACCAAACAAAGGAGGGAAGGGGTTTTTATTTCTAATGCAGCTTGTCCCTGCTACTGTGTCCTGCATCCATTGGCTGGAGTTGAACTGCACAATTTAAGCTAAACTCGGCTGGCTAACTTGAAAAGCACAGGAATGTGGTTAGATTGGCAAGAAGGACAGTTTCATGGGGGAAGGGACATTGTGACAGGTGGGGTAATTTATAGAGTGGGTAGCAGATGTGGACTCCATAGATATGGACCGATGGAAGGGTTTTTTACTGAAACCAAGGCAGGGAGGCACAAAGAGCAAGAACATTTTGCCTTGAAAGTAGAGAACAAAGAACAAGGAAACTAAACAAGCTAAACCTTGAAGAAGAACTTTTTCTTGTATCTGACAGGAGAGAAAAGAATAAAGCAGAATGGATGGATGTCCATAAACTATGAGATAACTTTAAAGGTTTTATAGACCCATAACTGAAATACTAAAAAAAGAAGAAAGATTAAAAAAGAAGCAATATTTTAAGGAATATTAGGTAAAATTTTTTCAAAATTAATGACAGATAGCAAACTACAGAGCTAAGATGCTCCAAGGACACAAGCAGGTTAAAGAGAGAATTTTGGCAAATCAATTATATCTATCCATCTATCTATTAATATGTTTATATATTAATAATTTTGGCAAAATATACTTCATACAGAATGAATAAGTTATTTTTTATGGTGAACTCAGGTGGTAGGAGACATCTTAGTTCCTAAAGGGACCCACTTAATATAAAATAGTATAGTAATAGGAGTGTTTTTGTGACATTGAGGTCAAATTTGATTTAATTGTAGGACCTGTTGTTTGGTCAGTTAGTATTAAGAAAAATCTTTACAGTCACAATAGGAAAAAAACAAGTGTGCAATAAAACTTTTTAGTTTACTGCTTTTTAATTTTGTCTGTAACTTTTATCGTAATTTTATGTTATTTGAAAGCAAACAAACATGATGATATTATGTCAAATGTTATATACTTTTATGCATCTATTAATAGTTAAAAATAGACTCTAGTTTATAATTATTTATATTTATGCTGTAAATAATTGTGTATAATTATTCAGATTTATATTATAATATCTCTTAAAACTGTTTAAATGCTAATAAAAATAAAACCAATTTAGCCTTTGTACTGTGGCACGCACTTTTTAATCTCTCTGTCATTTTAAGAACAGAAGAGAATCAGTTGCTCTCAGTGTTCACAGAAATCCCGGTAAAGTAAATCTTTACTTCTGACTTCACCCATGGGACATTTTAAAATTTCCCAGTTATTTTCATGTTTGCTAGTTACTCTGAAAGAAAATGAAGACTAATACATCTGAAACCCTTGTTGGGAGGATTATTTCTCTTCCTGTGATTTCTGGCAATCCCTGTAGACAGAACACACAGAATTATTTCATGCTTCACGTAAAGGCCATTATCCACACCTAAATTGATATATTTTTTAAACTTCTTCATTCTGAGAAACACATTTGGGGAAACTGACATATCGAATATTGTCAATAATTCCTTCTACTTTAATAGCTGTGATAACATGAGAGAAAGATGAAGCTTCTTTCCTTGAGGAAATAATATTTGAGTAAACATCTATTATTTTATTTTTCTGTATTTTTCATTGTCCTGTTTTCTTTTTGGCTAAAACAAGTGCCAGCAGTAATTTTCACTAGTAGAACTAGGGACACCAAGAGGAATAAAAAAAATATGAATAGCTGCCGAAAGTGCTTCCTTAGACTCCTTTCCACCTGGAAATCTGGATCCTGAGTGTTCTGTCTCCAGGTGCCATGTCTTGGCTCTTGTCATGAAGTATTTCTGACATGAGACCATTTGAAACCTCACATGACCAATTAAAATAGCCTCAACTGCCTCTTTAGTGAGATTTGCTCAATATACTCAGAAGAGTTAATGCTGGTAATACATTCTTTTGTCATATGCAAATAGACAAGCCAGGACAGAGTGTGTGACACTGAATATTGTCTGTAAAACTGACTTTTAGCTTTTATGTGTGAATTGTTCGGGCTCTAAAAGTGACATTGATACCACAAATAGGAGATAAGTGAAATGATTATGAAAGAATATAATCAATAAGTGATGAACAGTAATTATTTATTGGACAATAAATCAATAGAAGCAGCTTGTGCACATTTTCATATTGTCACACACATAACAGATAACTAGGCATGATCAAGAGAAAGCTAAATCCTGTAGCCCCAAATAAATGACTGATTTCATAAATATTTATGTGTTCAGGATATCAACTTGGCATAAACTCCTTCTAAATTAGTTAGTAATATCCTACGTTGTCTATTCCTGATAATTTCCTATAGTCTATTTGTGAAGGTTTAAAAATTATACTATTTATTTCATACTAAATGTAAGCATCCTGGCATCGTTGTGAATATATCTTGTTAACTTATATGTTTCAAATTATTTACAGATTCAGAAAAACAATCAGTTGTCAGCAGACCTGCATGATAAGCCATACTAGAAAAGCCCTTCCCACTGGAAGAGAATTATTCCAAGTGAAAATTCAGATTTACAGGAAGAAGAAAGGCAAAAATAATAAATACGTGTGTATATGTAAAAACTATTTTTCTCTTTTTTGATTTATTTAAATCAAGAAATTGAGTTATTTAATGAAAATATAATAAAATATGCTTTGAGATTTATAATTAACATCGATGTACAAGACAGTGATAGAATAGAGATTGATGGGTATCAACAGAGGTACTTACTGTTTCTCATAAGTGAAATGATATGCATATGATAGGTAAAGTGATATAATATTAATTCAAATTAGATTGGGAAAAGTTCATTTATATAGTGATTCCTAGAAAACCAACTGATGGTGGGAGGCAAAGAAATATAGTAGTATGTCCATACAAAGGATAAAAAAATACTGAATTAGTTGAATTACTGATTTTAAAAACTTAGTCATTCAAAATAATCAGGAAAAGAGAACTTAAAATAAGTGAGGTATGTACCAAATACCATTATCCTCATTTTACAGATAAGGATACTGATACCAAGTGAAGTTAAAAAATTTGCCCAAGATTAAATAATTATTTAGTGTAAATTCTGTGATTTAGAGACCTGGCTTATCCCAATTATGCTTTATCCTTAAACAATACTGAATAAACATTTTAATTACAATTGTAACTGAAGAAAAATACAGGCTTTGACTGGATATGATTTGAGTATAAATATTTCCGCTGAAAATAAAACTTTTATATAAAATGTGAAATAAAGTTGATTTAGGTAAACTTTTATTCTACTTTCCTTTTATTGCTGCCTTTTCTTTCTGCTTCTTAATTTTAATTCAAAAAGCAGTCATTTAAACAGTATAATAAAGTCACATAACTATATGCCAATAGAAGAGAAAAAAATAACAAAAATTTTAAAATCATGCAAACCAAAAGTAATAGAAAATACAAGAAAACAAGGAATACAGGAAACAAGTAAAAAATATATAATAGGAGTATAAATAGATCTAATCATATTAATAGTTACATTAAATGTAAATTTACTCCCAATTCAAAATTAGATGGCAAGATTGTCAGAGTAGATTAAAATATGCAATACCCAACTCTGTGATATCGTCAACAGCTCCATTTTAAATATAAAGACACTGATACTTTAAAAGTAAAAGGATAGGGAAAATGTATGTAATAGAAACTCTAGTTATAAAAAAGAAAATGTGACTACATTTATATTAGAAAAACCATATTTAAAGACAAATGGTATACTAGAGATAAAGAGGGTCATTTCACAGTTATTAAAGTGCCACTTTTTCCAAAAGACACAGTAATCATATAAGAAGATATGCTTAATAGAACTTTCAAACATAAAATAAAAACAGACAAAGTACAGGACTGAATAAACAAAATTTATAATTATCATTCAAGATTTTATCTTTCCATTTTAGGAATGAATAGTATAAGAGTAGACAAAATGTAAAGAACATCTTTTTTTCAGACATGACAGAATAATTATTATGCTAGGTTTCCTACTAGCAGCAACTACAAAAATAGCAAAATATATGAGGCACAGTTTTTAGTCATGGGAAACCGACATTTTAAGATGGCAATTGCTAAAAGAAAGTAAATTCATAAGATGAACCCTACGATTACCTCAGTCAATGGCCTGTGAACAATTTCCCACAGCAAAACTTTGCCCTTCTGTTGAGCTAAGGAGGCATGGATCAGAATTCGTGGCTGCTGAAGCATTTGGAATTTGGGAGATAGGGCACTTAGAAAAAAGAAGAATGAGACACAGCAAAGCAGTATGGGGGTTTCCCTCAATTCTTAGTTGAGGGGTAGGCTGTGTAAGTGCAGAGCAAAACAATATAATGTTAATAAAAGCGGCTACTGTGAGGTTGTGAGCAGACAAGCAATACCAGAGGCCACACATTATGAAACGTTTGTTCTAGCAGGTAGTTACTACTCAAGATAGATCTCTTTGAATTGCTTATCTTACTTTTCCGGTAGAGCTTGTCCACATTTCTTAGAGCAAATAATCAGAGATGGAAAATGACTTAGTTTCATTGCTGGCTTTTTAAAAAAAATAACAAAGGTCATAACTTCCTTGGGAATAAAATCAATTAAAGACACAGATGGCTTCTTCTAAAACTCGGTGTTTCTTGCAATCATCAGAGACAGTTGTCTTTTCAATGCGCACAGATTGCTCAGGAAGCAAACAACCTCTTTGCAGATTGCTATAGAAACACAATTAAATAAGGTTCTAGAGACACTTAAGATCTCCATCTACTAGGGCTTTTGAGATTAATTCCTCTGAAAAACTTTCCATCTATGCTTTAATTAGGTTTCTGTTACCACTAAAATGTAAGAGTCCCTTGACCTTCATAATCTCATACACTCATTACCACATAGACTTGGCTTCTTCTCTGTGGCCCACATTTCCCCACTTCACGTCTAAGAAAATGAGCACACAGACTAAATTCCTGTCTTAACCATCTGTAAAGCTTATTCTCTGATAGATAAATATTGTTATGTGTAGTTGATCTCATTACTGCATACTTACTCCATCTATTATTCCCAGTTAAATCTCCTTTCCTTTTGGCATATTCTTTACTCTGTGCCTTCTCAGGACTGCCTTTCACCTACATCCCATGTACCTCAGTATCAATACGTGAGTTCAGTCATACTCACTTTACAATACCACTCCATATAATCCTAATACTCTTTCTTTATATATGTAATACTCTCTTTATAATCGTAATACTCTACATATATATAGTCTCTCTCTATATATAGTCATCTAGTCATTATTGCTCCCTATCCAGCTTCAGACCTTTATTTACAATATGGTAGGCTGTAAATTCATTTACATATATTTATTTAAGTTATCAAATATTTGTTTATTGTAATTTATTGAAAATATTGACACTGAACTCTTTCACACTAAGTCCTCCTATTATGATCAAGAATTTAAAATTGTAATGTGGATGAGCTAAGTAATAACTCAGCATCTCTCTTTATTTACTCATGTTAGCCAGCCATCCGATTTCCATAGACATGTCTTGGAATTTATAGTTGGCTGTGTGTCGTAACTGTTTAACAGCCAATTCTCAGAAAACAAACAAAAAAATTCTGATTTGTAGATTTACATGTAATAGATTCTTGCATTGAACATAAGTTGGAAGGAGATATGCTTAATCTGCTCCAGCACCCCACTGTTTATAGCCCAGAACTTACATACTTTAAAATTTTCAGATAACAACTCATTACATTTTACTTGCTGCCAACTTCGTCATTTGCAATTACACAACTTTCTTTATATATCTAATGTAGACTTCAAAATAAATCACCAGAACTTTTTCCTTACTGAAGTCACTACTTCCTTGGCCCATTATTCTGTGTTTCAAAGCCTGGCAAAATTCTAACATTAGATCAGTCTATCTGCCTGTCTTTTCCGTATCTGTTTTAAGCTACTAAACAAAAATGGAAAATATCTTATAACTTTAGATTTTATGTCTTTAATTGGTATCAAGTTATCTGATCCCAGTTTGGCCCTCAATATTTACCAGTTTTCTGTTTCCCTATACAATTAAGAATCTGTTCTTATTTTTAGAGAAATGGTCTCATTATGCTGCTCAGGCTGGAATGTGGTACCTATTAACAAGTGCAATCGTAGCACACTACAGCCTCAAACTCATGAGCTCAAGCAGTCCTCCCGCCTCAGCCTAACGAGTGCTGGGACTACAGGTGCACACCACAGTGCCTGGTTTTAGAATGTCTTTCGGTCTACTTTACCTAAATTTCAAAATCTACTGTCATCATTCTCAGGTTTTGACAACCATCACAGAAATTTTTCTTCATACAATCAGTCAATGTAATCCCACCACTCTGGATCTCTTCATCCCTAGCTGTCTTAGAAACATAAATCTTACAATTTCTCCCTTTTTGACCAGTATTTTCACTCCCTCTATGTGATCTTTTAATCTAGCATTAATATGTTTCAGTATCTCCTTTAAAAAATTTGAATCCTATGTTTTATAGGAATTCTTCCTGTAGCTGCTTGTCAGAGAACTTACACTGTCTCTTCTTTCTGATGTAGCATTTCTACCTCAATACGTCGAACTTGACCATGACCTGTATCACCCCACAAAACCTGGAGGGATTGTCATGCTAAAATCACTAGTAGACTGGGTTTTAGCATGTGCTTTAAACAGCAGATGGTATCATTGATCATTCTACACTGCTTATAATTCTCTTTTCTTTGTTTTCTATTTCTTGATCCTTCACTGTCTTCCTCTTAGATGACTGCTTTTTGTTTTCCTCAAGAATGATCTTGTTTTCCTTCTCATTCATATCATTATTATTTTATTTATTCCTATGTACCCAATTAACATCAGAGTCTTTCAAATCTATATTTTTATAATAAGTTCCATAACCCGGATGATTATACATTTATGTGCCACAGACATGAAATTCAAAGTTAACATGTCTAAAGCTGAGCATATATTGTCTCCTCAAATATGCCTCTTCTCCCATGATCCCTTTTTGTGAGTGACTCCACCTCTACACGTTTACCTAACTAGAAATTTGGTCAACACTCTTGAAACCATGTTTCTTTCCAATAATTTAATCACAAATTTATTTTTGAATATTCTACTTTTTTTATCTATAAACTTCTTTTCCTCCCCACTGTATATCTCTTCTTTTAGAAACTCATCATTTTACTCAAGTTATTTTGACAATATCCTTCCATCTGCAGTCTTACATACAGCAAATTTACACCATGGCCATAGTAAATATTGTAAAATGCACAACTAGTAGTATAATTTTCAAATTAAAATACTTCAATAGCTCAGTATTTTATTGAGGATGGGTAAATTACAAAAAAGAAAAAATAAACATCTCTTATACTGACTTTTTTATTTGTGAGAGAAGTCTTTATAGATTCTTTAAAATAAATTTTGTTAAATGCTATAGTGATAAAGAAAATTAAGATGCTATATTAATTAAGTTAGCTGCTATAAGAAATAAGTCTCAAAATTTGAGTAGCTTATACATAAAATTTTCTCTATCATTAATTCTAAAATATGTGTTTCTAATGGGTAGTAGAAAGTGTATTTCTAAACATTCAAAGATCCAGGAGACTTCACCATCTTCACTACATGATTTCTGAGTCACTCTAGAGTCAACATCCAATGTCAGATGGAAGAAGATAGTGGAAGATGGTGTGCTGGCCAATTCTGCAAACAAAACATATTACTTTATTTATTTAGGTCTGAGTCCATTTGAGAAATTCTAGAAAATAAGGTCAATGCCCATCACGAAGATAAGGAATAGTTTATCAAGTAGTAGCCTCTCTTTATGGTGTATAAGAAACAGCAAGATGGCACACTCAACCTATATTTTCTTATGCTTGCCACTATTGTTGAGAATGTTACCTAACTATTATCTCTCTCAATGTGCATGCCCATTTTTTCTAATTATTATTAGTGAACCATAACCCAAAGCTCCCTGGAATTTTTCTTATATCTTTTCCTTCCTCTTTTTTGTTAGATAGTTATGTGATGGCTCAGTCTGTCTGAGCCATCTTACAACTCTGAAGTTGATGCTGAAAGAATCACAGGTGTGTTGTTTCTGATACCATTGCACTGTCAAACCAGTAAGCTTCTACCTGTAGACCTGTCATCCTAATAAATCCTAAAGAGTCCTATTTCTTTAAGACAGTCTAGTCAGATGCTTAATAACTTGCAGCTAAAACATCCCTAATAGATAAATCTAGCAACTAGCATCATGTAATTTAATATTTGTTTTGCTCATAAGCTCTATTATTTTGCCTCTTAATGCTCTACATACATTCTCTATTCAGATTTCAGAGGGAAAAGGGGATGCATAAAATAAATGTATTGCCTCGTATGTTAATGCGCTTGCTACAAAATACAAGAAGTGTGGAACTAAGCCATACCTATCAAATTTATGGTTTAAAAAAATTGTAATCTCTAAAATTTGATATTATTAAGTTAGAAATTTAATGAATAAACTTGAAGAAAGTCATGTCTCAAATATAAAAGAACATTTTTTTCTTCAAAGATTTCCTGTCCTTTTAAAATATTTGTAAGAAATATTTTATATTTGTTGAATTTTAAAAATTTATTCTCTTCCAGTGGTTGATGCACTGTTACCTATTTATTGATAGAGGGAAATATGTATATATTTAAATTATATATAATATATATAATTATTACATATAAAGATAAAAATATATATTTATATATATATCTTTAATTACATTCAGACAGGTAATGTGTTGTTATACAAAGTTAAGAAAGCACAAAATAAAGTGCAGAATAAGTTTCCATTGTATCCTTTTAACTCTTTTACTCAAGCCATCTAATTCTTTTTCTCCAAAGCAAGCACTAATACCTGTTATCCGTATTTTCTTCTTGAGCCTACACAAATGCCAGGCATCTATACAGATTGCAAATGTATGATTATTCAGACACTTTGGCAATTTTGTGTTTTCATCTGCATTACCATTTGTAGACATTGGAGAATGTGTCAAGTTATTGTTTAAAAAAGAATTTTCAAGCTTAGGCATTTATGTTTGCAAGTATGGAAATATGTAATATGTTAACAAATAAATAAACTGGAAAGCACATATTCTTTGGTTTTATTGTAGCTGATGATCGTAGAATGAAAACATCAAAGATACTTCATTCTGGTCTCATTGTTTATTTTTAGACATAGTAAATCACCATTGTGGATCTCATAATTAAACATGATACATAATTCTGATATGTTTATTTAAAAGGAAGAATAGCTTTAGGTATCTATACTTGATATCTATACTTGAACTGTAATTGGTAACAGAGAATATAATTTCATAATTCAGCTGGGATGAGAAAGGTGGAATTCTGTAGCAGCTTGCTGTTTGTGATGTAGAGATCTAATGGACTCAAATAGCCTTCAAGCAACCCCTGTTATCTTAGCCACCAATCCTTTATTGCTAATTTCAAAGACACCTGTTCCTCATCCTCTTTAGGGATCTTTAGTTGAAATCATGTATTTTCTCACCTTTGTCCACTCTAGTTTAGGTTTCAGTTACCTCAGAGCTGCTTTCATTTATCTCTTTCCAACTGATAAACTTTTGTAGCTGTTGTCATGTATCTCCTATAATCTCTATTATTGTAGTTTTAAGTTTTAAAAATAGTATTCTTACAATAGCTAGAATAAAATTTCATAAGGACAAAAAAAAGTAAGTCTTTATTTTGTTAACCTGGAACTCCAAATTAGGTTTTTCAGATAATTTCTGATTTCTAGTATTTAGGGTGATATATGGTAATATAGGGTAGTACATGACCTCTATTTTTACAATAGTCACCTCAAAATTCAAAACACATATACTAACATTATGGGAACAACATAAAATTGTGGGTGGCCTTTTTTTTGTCAAAGAGTAGCTCAACTGAAAGCAAATTCTTGATAATTCATTAACTTATGAGACTTTTTTGATTCTTCACAACTGATGAGCTTTGATGGATTTTGTGAAGGGAAAAATACTATATACTTTAAACCTAATGCCATGAAATCATATCTCTATGAACTAAAACTTAGAGCCTTTTCAAGTGGACTTGTAAAAATCGAAGAGAAAAATGCAAAGTTTCCCAACTACATAATGTTTAATAAAGCATGTGATAAAATAATTCATTCAAAATCTAGCAGAAGGATCTGCTTTTAAATGTAAGAAAAGGCCACTTTTAGAATAATTTGAAAATGAGTAAATCCATAATGTGGCTTGTTTGGTAGAGTTTTAGGAATGTATGAGTGAGTAAAAGCATTTGGAATTCAAAATCCTGCAAGTCATTATTATGGATTCTGCTTTTGGCCTAGCTAGTACTCTGTACTCTATATTAAAGTTACTTGGGAAAGGCAACTATGCAAATTATCCTATTTAATTTATCTCCAGGCAGAAATCTGCAGAAACTTGGAAACCCTGAAGAAAATTGTTGAAGGTTACTCTTGCTCAGATGACCTCAAAATTGAAACATAGATTTGTGATGCTTTTTTTGTTGACATGGACAGCAAATAAATGCGGCAGACCTTGCCAAAAATGACCTCACTGACTTAAGGACAAAGGGAATGAGGCTTCATGAATTTTACTCAACAAGTCTTAGAGAAGTCTGTTGTTCTTTGACACAAACTTACCCTTATTTATCACACTGAGATATGTGAGTTTTGATTCTTTTTCTTATACTTTTCTTATTGAGCGTTTCAGCACTTATTGCCATAAAAATGGCAAGTGAAAAACTGGAAATCAGAGATAGCCTTTGCTTTACAAAAGACCGCTCAGTAATTTAAAATTACTTTTCAAGACAATCAAACATATTTTAATTGAATATGTAAGTAGAAATAGATATGACTTTTTGATTGATGCTCACAATTCCCTTTTACCTAGAAGTGGAAGGCAGTTAATAGGCTGCTTCAACATCCTTAAAATCTTCTAGGACTGTTCCCTGTAACACTTAGCCTTAAAGTTGGTAATTCATAAGATTGCTTTCTTGAAATTGTCTCAAGTGGAATTTTGATACTTTTTCAAATTTTGATACTTTTTCACTCATGTTACTGATACAGTAACTGATACAGTAACATGAGTGAAAAGATCACTTTCCTCTTTATTTTCCTAAGCAATGTTTTTCTGAAAACATTGTTCCTTCATGGTTTAAATTTAAAAATAAATAACTAAACACATAAAAATAAATAAGCAAGTCCTTGTTACTCAAGCTTTATATAATTTGCCTATTTTGTCCTATAGCCGCATTCATTTTTGCACTTAGCAACATTCTGGTCAATCTCCATCATTCCTCAGTAACTTGGCAATTCCTTCACAGTCCAGATTTTGACAAAATTTTATCTTTGTGAGTGATCCATTCAAAATCCTGGCCTCTTGCTTTCTTGACCAACTCTTCCAATGCTCTGCCTTTCCATTTTTTTCAACCCTTTTTCCTTGGCCATATAATGACCTTTATTATTAATGTAAACTCTCCTGCCTTTGAATTACAAGTTCATAAATCCCAGTTACCATTTCCAAATTTTCAGCTTTCTTATTTTGTAACACTTGCAATACGTGTAATACAATTTTGTTGAATTGAATTACATTAAAATAAAAACTCAAGTGGCATAAGCATACTTCATTATAAAATATAGTATAAAATAGTTTAGTTAAAAAATTAATTTACAAAACAAAAATCAAAATAGATTAAAATTTTATATGAATTCCATGTAATATTCAAATGATTCTGAGATGTACTCTATTAAAATTACAGTCATTATGTGCATTATGTGTGTATACCTGTGTATGTATATACATATATTTGTACATATACCTACAGATAAACACAAACACATATGCCACTATTTATAAATATGTTGATAATTCCTTCAATTGAAAGTATGAAGGATATAAAATATTTATGCAAGGTATTCTTTCTTCCAAATTTTTAATGACCAAGAAAGCAGGAGAGATTGTTTCTATTTTCCTATATCCAACACATCTGTATCCAGAAAATACTCTATGCATGGCATGTGCTCAATAGTAGAATTCCTAAATTTAAATATTTCTTTCTAGGTCCTACTTAGGTTTTGGAATGCAATATAATAAGCTATATAAAGAAAAAGAGAAGTTTAGTGAATATATAATTATTTGAAGCAAAAAAAAAAAAAAGCCCACCCAGAAATAACACTTGACAGCAAACAAGCAAAAATAATGTTTACCAGAGACAGTGAAAATAAAGGCAACATCAGAAAGAGGAGAAAATATGAAATTGTCATAGTTAAAGTTGAAGAGAAAAATCAAATCTTAATAAATTTCATGAAAGATATATTTGTGTGCCAGAAAAACATACATGCAAACCAATGCTCATATAAAGCAGAATTTCTTAATCTCTAGGCAATTGTCATATTGGGATGGGTAATCACTTGCTGTGGGTCTGACCTGTTTATTACAGGATGCCTGGCCAGCATCCCAGTCCTCTACTCACTGTATGTGCTAGTAACCACCTCCTCCTGAAGTTGTAACAAAAATGTCTTTAGACATTTTAAAATATCCCCTGAGAAGGGCACAATCACCCTTACTGATTTAGGTAAGGGTACAGGAAAGTATCTTGCACGCTGTGGTGGAATCTGACTTCTGTTTGTTGCTTCTGCTCTTGTGAAAAGAAGAGTAAAGTTCATATCTCCTTGGCTTTAAGGTCCTATTGGGTGTCAGTGACACTTATGAGGCATAGGCCAGGAGATTTAAGGGAAAGATGTATAACACTGGCAATGAGAAAAAGAACAAATAAAGTAAAGGGAAAATGAATATTTGTTTTTAATGAAGTAAAGAATTGTTAAAAGAAAAATCTACTATGAACCTGTTGTACAGTATGACTTCCAAACTATAGAGGTACATTTATTATTTTATTCTTTTCTTTTTCAAGTTAGTGCATACTATTTTAGTTGCTCTTCTTTTCAAGGAAAAAAAAATCCTACCATTTTCTACAGTTTCTGAAATGTAAGGATTTATAGAAAGCATTACACAGCAAGCTTCACAATTTGCATTACAATGTATGATTGAGAATCACTGTATAACTCTGTTCCTGCTGTTTTGTATTGATTGTACACTGTGTGTTTCATTAGACTGCCTTCAAAACTATTCCAAATGTGTTATAGATTTGCTAATTTCAATAAGCGCCCTGAGACTGGGACTATTGCTATAAGTGACTAAAAATATATGCTGCAGAAAGGCAATGCTAGTCAGTCGTTTTAACAGCTAAAATGTGAAGATTCAGTATGGTTTTAATGATTCATATTGATTGAGACCACTCTCTGAGTTGAACAATTGAGATAAATTTTTGGTTTGAATGTATGTTGTTTTACTTATTTTTTTCTCCCCACTATGCAAATGTATATTTCATAAAGTTTCATAAATTTGCCTATGGCAACTGTGACACAGAATCCCAGGAGTACATGTGGAAAATTCAGATTCTCGAGTGTGTAACAGAGCAGAACAGGGTAGATTCTGTTTAGCGTCTATTCTACCATTAAAGTTGACATCACTCCATTGTACGTTATGGAGTAGTAGTATTTGGGTCATTTAAAGAGGACTCAAAATAAAAACCTGAATATAAGCCTGTAACAAGGCATCATTTTTTTCACATATTTTAAGAAAAGAGAAAGAAATGTTTTGCCTCAGTGATCAGGTTATTTTGTATTCTGTTTGATGTACTTCTCATTCTGTCTTGCATTTATAGACAGTCAAACTCTGATGTGAAAAACACATGTATTAATTATCATCTTATCACTTTATAAGGAAATATCACTTCCATATGGTGATATAATAGGTCTGTGGACTGACAGTTCTCAGTTTAAGTATTATATATTTAGTGATTTACATTCTATAATACTTTGTTTCACCTATTTAAAGCTGCAAATAGTTCAAATATGTTTATTACCTTCTGCCCTTTAAAAGTTACAAAATGGCATATTTCATTTCTGCTAACAAGGAAAGGACAATTTTCTGACTGCCATATATGAATGTAGCATAAAAATTCAGTGAAGTCATTCAGAAGTAATTTGAAAAGAAGAAATCACAGAATTATTTAAATTAATAATACTACATTTTGTTAAGTAGATAGTAATAGAATATCTAAAGCATCTCACACTTAAATTTCATAATCCTTTTTCTATATGAGTAGACTTTAAAATACAAAAATTAAGCTTACATTAGAAAATATTTTTTATTTAGCAATGATATGTAATCATAGTCTATATAATTTAGACATTTAATGAAGCTATGAGTTCATTTAAATATCATGGAGAACACATAGATAATAAAATATTATCCAATAAGTTGAGGCTTTAGCTCAATTACTTTTCAGGTTGGTCACTTACATCAGCAGTCCCCCAACCTTTTTGACACCAGTTTCATGGAAGACAATTTTTCCATAGGACCAGCATGGGTGTTGGGGGTGGGCAATGATTTTGGATTGAAACTCTTTCACCTCAGATCATCAGGCATTAGATTTTCATAAGGAGCACACAACCTAGATCCTTTGCATGTGCAGTTCACAATAGGGTTTGCCCTCCTATGAGAATGTAATGGCACTGCTGATCTGACAGGAGACAGAGCTCAGGTGATAATGCTTGCCCACTGCTCACCTCCTGCTGTGCAGCCTGGCTTCCAACAGGTCACAAACAACTACCAGTCTGTGGCCTGGGGGTTGGGGACCCCAGGTCACATGATAGGGATTAGTATAAAATATATAATTACAAGAACTCTACCACATGAAATAATAGATTTCAAATTTTGTTATCTTGTGAACATTGACGTGTCTCACTGTTAGCCATTATTTCTTTAATATTGGTTATGTTTTCAAATAAGTTTAATAGAAAAGAGAGAAAACTATGGGAGTTACTCTTCTAACAACTTTAGTAGATTAAGGTGACTTGATTGAGCAGTTCTGTGTCTTTCACATATAAATGGTAGAGAAAGGTAAGCCACTGGAGTTCTTTTATGAATTTGATATCATACAGAGGTTACAGTTTTGTGGACGCTTCCAGTGCTATTACTTAAAAAGCTAATATGAGCTGTAAGAATAAGAATGTTGCAGATGACTGTAGACTACAGCTGGTATCATCTCTGGTGTTTTCCTGCCCGATAATGCTTAGAAAGATAAGGTAGACACAGCTTTCTGAGATTTCATATTAGTTTGAATTGAGTCAAATAATTCACACATGCATTCTGAAAATGCATTAATTAAATTATCTGTTCTGTATTATGGTTACATCCTTCCCTAAATTGCTAATTGTTAAATTTGTCATATTTGAGGAGTTTCTTTCTCTCCTGCTGTTTGATCACATAAGAGGTCATAATTCATTGTTTATGATCTAACAGTCTGTTGATTAAAGTGTCTACAGTATCAAAAGCAAGAGTATAGGCAAGACTTTTCAGAATAAACAAGAAAAAATAGGAAAAAATAGAAAAAAGGTAAGAATCTAGTTAACAGGCACACATATATTAATAAATTGCATTTATTAATACACAACTGTTATTACTGTAAAACAGAACCGAGTTAACATTAACGCATTCAACAAATGCATTGTTTATGTCAAATTTTCATAAAAGTTTTGGTTACAAGATAATCGGGTTGCAGACATGTGAGGCATAAACACTGGAGGAGTTAGATTGAAGGATGTATTAAAACTCCCTAAGCTATTTTTACAACTATTCTATAAATCTAGCAGTAGATCAAAATTTAAAAAAATTTAGAAGACAAGCGTCTATGAGATTAGAACTTGTGGTCAACCGGTGGAATAATTATTTACCTAGAAAACTCTTCAATATATCTAAAAATCACCCACAAAATTGCATGAGGAATCAATGACTAGACCTACATTAATAGAACATTATTTCAGGTTAGACCTATATTAATGGAACGTTATCTCATGATATAAGTATGAAATGGACAATGGAAGCATAATATTATATGCAATGAAATAGTTTTGTTATAAATATTTGTGTGTACACATGTGAGTGTGTATATACACACAACTATTCATACATATGTTCATATGTATTAGTTGCCTTGGGCTTCCATAACAAAATATTATGGACTGAGTGTCTTAAACAAATAACTCCTTGTCATTTTATAATGACAACACAGATCTGTTTTCAGTTATTTATTGTTCACTGAAGTCCGTGATTGAAATGCTAGCAAATTTGAGTTCTGGTGAGAGCCGTTTTTTGTTTGCAGACTACTGCCTTCTTCCTGTGTCCTCACATAACCTTTTTTCTGTGTGTACTTGGCAAGCGGGAAAGAACTCTTTGGTGTCTCTTCTTCTTGTAAAGACACATTCCCATTAGATAATGGTGTCTTTCTTATGACTTCATTTAACCTTACTTACTTCTATTAAGGCTATATCACAAAATACAGTCATATTAAGGGTTAGAGCTTCAACACATGAATTTTGGAGGGAGATAATTCAGTCCATAATATATATAAAATATATATTAACATATAATATATTAATATGTAATGTTACATTAATATGTATTATATGTTATGAAGTTATACATTATTACATAAATATGTTATATATATTTAAATATATTCTATATTTTAAATATATACATATATGATATATAATATATAAATTTATAACATAATAATATATATTATTATATCATATATATTAACATAACATATATTTGTATGTTATATAAATTTTAATATATATGTTATATATTACTATTAGGTACTGTTCATATATTATATGTTATGTATATTACTATTGTGTTATATATGTGTATTATATATTATATATACACACACACACATACATACACACACACACACACACATTCAACACATCTTTGAATTATGTCAGCTGTAAAAAATAATCTCAGGACCAAAATAACTTAAGCCAAGGGAAAATATCAAGCTTGATACTGCATCTGGCAAACCTGCCTCCATTTTATTTCTAAATAAGATTGCTGCAAAGATAAAAAAGCTACACACCCGCCTCACAATTTTCACACAAGAAAATTTCCCATAGACAAAGGACAGAGAGAACTGGAAGTCAGCCCTGTGTTCACCTGAGACAAATGCGTATCTGATTGCTTCCTCTGCCCTTTTGTTTCACTAAGCCGGACTGAGGCATAAGTGACTACTCCTCTGCCCTCCTGTCACATGTAAATTGTGTATTCAGTGAAAGGGTAATCAGAGACTCAAAAGAATGCAACCTTTGTCTCCTGTGACCTGGAAGCACCCTCTTTTGCTTCAAGTTGTCCTGCCTTTCCGGACCAATGTACATCTTAAACACACAGACTGATGCCTTATGTCTCCCTAAAATGTATAAAACTAACCTGTGCCCCGACCACCTTGGGCACATGTTGTCAGAACCTCCTGAGTCTGTGTCATAGGTGCATCCTTACCCTTGGCAAAGTAAACTTTCTAAATTGATTGAGACCTGCCTGTCTCAGATATTTTGTGTTCACACAACAAACTGGTACATAATTCAATCTCAGACAGTTTTGGAGATGCCTCTAATGGTTGAGAAAGGGCTTTGGAACTTATACTGTGGAAATCTGTTAAGTAATCTACCTATCACTTATTCATGTTCACTATGTTCAGTTGTCCATCAGGCCCATGTCCCTTCAGTTAAAGATCAGTTCATTCTAGGTCACATCCAGAACACAGGACTCCAGGAGGGGCAAGGTGTTTTGTTTTGTTTTTGTTTGTCCTTTATCCCTTTCTGGAGCTCAGACTTTAAGCAAGCAGATATTAGAATGGAAAATGTCTCATATGCATTTTCTGATTTTTGCCCAGAAAGAGAAAGCTGAACAATAAAACAAATAAGAATAAAAGAAAGGCTGCAATTCAGCAGCCTCCTCCGATTCCTTCACGGAGGATGGCCAAATAAGAAAACATAAAGACCTAGTATCCCTAATGACTTCATATCCCCTCTCCCATCCTGAACCACCTATTTTTAATGTATGAGAAAGAAATGAAACTTTCGACTTGAGCCATTGTTATTTTTTTTCTGTTAGAGAAGAATTTAATCTTAGCGAAAAGGGGAAAAAAAATACAGTGCCAAAAAGTGTGCCAAGCTGTGATAAGACATTCTCTTCTTAAAAGCTGTTGTAGTTTACATTAATAATTGTATAGATTCAGGCCGGGTGCGGTGGCTCACACCTCTAATTCCAGCACTTTGGGAGGCCAAGGTGGGCGGATCACGAGGTCAGGAGTTTGAGACCAGCCTGACCAACATGGTGAAACCCATCGCTACTAAAAATACAAAAATTAGCTGGGCTTGGTGGTGAGTGCCTGTAATCCCAGCTACTCAGGAGCCTGAGGCAGGAGAATGGCTTGAACCCAGGAGGCAGAGGTTGCAGTGAGCCAAGATTGCGCCACTGAACTCCAGCTTGGGCAACAGAGTGAGACTCCATCTAAAAAAAAAAAGAGAGAGAAAATTGTACAGATTCATTCCCAAATAATTCTGAAAAAAGACATAAATAAACAAGCAAACATGAGTTTACTTGAGCACTTACAAATAGCTTTTCTTTTATGGCATTGTCTCAATTTAAGAGAGCTTTTAGAAAAAAAAATACACCTCCACACATATCACAATAAGAATAACAAAAATTTTAAGGCATTTGTCACCTAACTTCCTATTTTGTGGAGCTAAGATATTTCTAACTTTAGAAGGATATAGTCTTGATAATGTTACATTAAATTTTCTTCATAAATAAACATATTAGCATGGCATAGCGTAGTGAAGCATATAAGTTAAGCTTAACTGTATCACCATTGTCTTATTTACAACGAATGGAAAAAAATATTTTGAGTAACTAAAAAGTCATTCTCTTTATTTTTAATTTCCCACCTCACATATCCTCAAAAGTATGCTTCTAAAGTAAGTGAATATACGCCTTTAGAAAACAAACAAACAAATAAAAGGGGAAACAAAAAACAAAAAGAAAAGAAAAGCAAGAAAAAAAGAAAAGAATGAAATTTACAACACAGTTCTTTAGCTTTGTCTCCTATAACATCTCGGTGTTATGTATAGTACAAATTTTGTATGGCTCTATTTTCTTACTATTTGATATTTCTTGGACAGATAATGATGTGTTAAAATCCAGTACATTTGTGTAGTTTGTATGTATCTCTGACTTTCTAACACTGCTGCCTAATATACTTTTATGCTCTGTTACTTGGTTCATAAAATTTTATGACTATGATATTTTCATTGTACATAGTATCTTGTATCCATGTAATAGGATGTTTTCTGTCACCTTGAATGGTTTTTGCCCTAATACTTTTTCTTAAATTAATAGAGTCCAACCTTTAATTTTACTTATTTTCTTTTTACATATTTGCCCATTCTTATGCCTTAAAACATCTTTGCCAATTTGTTTTAGATATGTTTTAGGGAGTAGCAAATAATTTGTATTTTTTATTATTAATCATTTCAATGCATCCTAATTTTCTTTCCATTTTAATAGAAGTAAAATACTGATATAAGTTGTTATCATTGATATGATTCATATTATTTATTTGTTTTTTCATCATTTTATTTTGCTTACCTGCTGTGTTTTACATTTCTTGTAATATGATTGTTTTGTTTGAGTTTTTTGGGGGGTTATTGGTTTCCTATTTGTTTTCCTTATAAATAAGTGATTTATACACTAGCTACATAGAAATAGGACATTCTCTTTTAGTTTCATAAGCTTTGTTTATTATTATTTATCCTAGTTACTTTCCCATATATTTACTGTTGACTTTTCCATGCCCTGAGATACATTGTAAAGAATTATAGTGTATATATTTAACCTAATTTCATCATGTCTACTGTTTAAGTAGAGATAATTGTTTCTGTGCATTGCTTGTAACCACAACTATATTTGAATTTATTTCTACTATTATAATTTGCACTTTTGATTTACATGGTTTCTTTCTGTGCTTCATTTGTTCTACTCTCCTGCCTTCTTTTGGATCATTGGTGTTCTTTCAGTATTTTCTTTTTTATTAGTTTAGAAATTATTCTTTATTTTAAATTTTATAATGAATATACTTAAACCTTTGCTAAAAAACTTAACTTTTAATACTAAGAAACTTTGGCCTGGTGCGGCGGCTCACGCCTGTAATCCCAGCACTTGGGGAGGCCAAGGTGGGTGGATCACGAGGTCAGGAGATCGAGACCATCCTGGACAATATGGTGAAACAAGATCTCTACTAAAAATACAAAAATTAGCAGGGCTTGGTGGTGCACTCCTGTAATCCCAGCTATTGGGGAGGCTGAGGCAGGAGAATCTCTTGAATCTTGGAGTCAGAGGTTGTACTGAGCTGAGATTTTGCCACTGCACTCCAGCCTGGAGACAGAGCAAGACTCCCTCTCAAAAAAAAAAAAATACTAAGAGATGTTAACACCAAGAAATATCTCCTTTCTTCTCCTCAATAGTACAAAAATCTTAGAAAGCTTGAAAACATGCCATTTCATATGAGCCTATTCTAAATGTGTTCTAAGTTTTAGAGTTTAATTATTTTCTACATTCAGATTGGTTATTGTAAAATTAAACAATAATTTTTGTAGATAAAGCCACATTTACCAATTATTTCTATCAACATTTCAACTGAAATAATTTTCCTTCTTCCTGATGTAAATATCTGTTTCTTAAGTGACAAACACTATGCTTTCACTTATCTAAAAAGAGTATTAAAATTGCCTTTATTGTCAAATCACAGTTCAGCTACGTATAGAGTTATGGTTTCACAATTGTTAATTTTCATATTCTCCTAGGATATTAACCACATTGCCTTCTCCTTATTTTGATAAAATATATCATTTTTATTATAGTTCCTATTTAATAAATTGCCTAGCCTCCCAAAACTGTTTTTCATATTTCAGTACATCAAACTTTAAAAAGAAAATCTCAACATTATTATTCTTATATCAAAACCAATACCACTCACTATATTTTAACTGTCTAGTTTATTGAGTTCTGACAATTGTTAGTACATTATACTTACCACACCCTCAAAGAATATAGAAAAAATGTTTCATCACAAATTCATCAACATATGTTGAGTGAAAGAAGATGAACTAAAAACAATATATCATATAATTTTATTTATATAAAATTATAAGACAGTATAATTTAATCTATGATTATAGGAATCATAATGAGGCTACCTGTGTGAAAATGCAAATGGACTAGAAAAGTGCACAAGAGACACTTGTTTTCTAGATAATGGAAACACTATCTCATCCTATGTGTTGGTTATACTATGTATACAATACTCAGACGTCATCGAACTGAACACATAAAACCTGTGTATTGTATTGTATTTAGATTACACTCTCTTATTGTATTATGTTATGTTATATCATATTCCCAAACAAAATTTTTTTTAAAAAAGCAGCCTCAGACTAGTAGAAAATATATAACAAATCTGTGTCCAGATTATATAAGAAATATATGCAAATCAATAATAAATTTTAAAGTTCTGTAAAATATAGGCAAAAGATTTGAAGAAACATTTCACACACACACAAAAAAAACGATGTACAAAGGGCATTCGAAAAGATGCTCAAGGCCGGGTGCAGTGGCTCATGCCTGTAATCCCAACACTTTGGGAAGCCAAGGAGGGCGGATCACGAGGTCAGGAGATCGAGAACATCCTGGCTAACACGGTGAAAACCCGTCTCAACTTAAAATACAAAAAAATTTAGCTGGGCATGGTGGCATGTGACTGTAGTCCCAGCTACTCAGGAGGCTGAGGCAGGAGTATCGCTTGAACCTGGGAGGTGGAGGTTGCAGTGAGCTGAAATCGTGCCACTGCACTCCAGCCTGAGTGACAGAGTGAGACTCCATCTCCAAAAAAAAAAAAAAAAAAAAAAAAAAAAAAGAAAAGATGCTCAAAATCATTAATCTTTGAGAAAGACAAATTACAAAACAATTTCTTTTCACACCTACTAAAATAGCTGAAATTAAATAGCCTGACAATATATAATATGGGCCAAGATGCAGAGGAGCTGGAATTTACCTTCATTGTTATAGAAGTGTAAAATAGCACAAACATATTGGAATACTATTTTGCACATTTTAAAAATTAAAATACTCATTTAATCTATGTTCTAGCAATTACATAATATTTACCAAGAAAAATGAAAATTTAAACCCTACAATAAATTGATACATTCATAATTATTTGCCCCAGACTAGAAATCATCCAAATGTCCATCAAATAATGAACAAATTGTGTTATATCTCTACAATAAAATATTAGTCAGTAACAAAAGGGGAGAAGTTTGCAGATACAGTAAAAACATATTTGGAATCTCAATTTTATTATGTTGAACAAAAGAAGGCAAACCAAAAGAGAGTATATATTGCATGATTTCATTGTATACAATTCTAAAACAAGCAATGACTTATCTATCATAATTAAAAGTAGATCAGCAGTTGCATGTTGCCAGGAATTGGGAGGAGGTGACTAGAAAGAAGCTGAGATAACTTTCTGGAGTGATAGAAAATTCTATGTATTATTTGAAGTAATGATTGCAAAGTTCAAAAGTGTATTGGATTACCTGAGGTCAGGAGTTCTAGACCAGCCTGGCCGACATGTCAAAACCCTGTCTCTACTAAAAATATAAAAAATTCACTGGGTATGGTGGCAGGCACCTGTAACCCCAGCTACTCGGGAGGCTGAGGTAGGAGAATAGCTTGAACCCAGGAGGTGGAGGTTGCAGTGAGCCGAGATCATGCCAGTGCACTCCAGCCTGGGCGATAAGAGCAAAACTCCATTTAAAAAAAAAAAATCCAATTTAAACATCAAAAAATTGCATTTCACTATTTAATTTTAATTTATTAAAAATTGTCTGGAACAAGATGTTTTTACATTTTATAATTTATTATTTATGGCAAACTATTGCATAGTAGTAAAAGTTGATTTTTACATATTATATTATTTAGTCCTTTTAATGAAATTATTTTGATAAAAGCAGTGTAAATATTTGTGATAAGTCAGTATACACCAATAAGAATAAGTGTTTGCTGTTAGTTTACTGATATGAGCCACTTAATCTTAACCAACTTAAATATATCAGTATAAAATGTATAAAAATCTAAATTCAACAATTAAAAGATTTTCCATAAAACATAGAATCTGTTATACATTTGTATGAGAATTTTTAAAGTTAATTATGTTAGTTTAGTAGTCTAGATAATGTATTTTACTATTTCATTAATTTAAGTAAAATATACTTGGAAATCAATTTTTTGATATTCATATTTCAATAATGGTGATGTATGTGATTGTATAACAAGTTGTTTCCAAATTATATAACATAGAAATATCTAATAGAAAACAATTGTCTCAAAAATAAAACAATATAATATTGTTGAAACTTCAACTTGATAATCAAACGTAAGAGCTTCAAAATGAGAATGCATTTTTTAGCCAAATTAACCTAATCATAGTTGCCTGGGATGTAATCGAGCTGCCATCAAGATATGCATCACCTCAGGTTAGCTTTCGTCCAACTCTTCATAAGTATTAAACAGTATATTTTGGTAGCATTCACAGAGTTGTGAGTTTGATTTAGAGTTGGACCTAGCACTGTTGTAACCATCTGCTAGATCTGTGTCTCACTGACTCCAGAGGGGACATGCTGGAGTGAGCTGTCTCACAACAATCCATCCTCATAGGTCTACTCTATTAAGAGATAAGTTAAAGGTTTTAAATTGTATCCCAAATCAACACTTTGTAGTTATATCACTTAATTGCCATTGAAAATGTGTCTCCTATAGGTGATTTTTTGTTGTGGGAAGTCAGGGACCCCAAACAGAGGGACCGGCTGAAGCCATGGCAGAAGAACATAAATTGTGAAGATTTCATGGGCATTTATTAGTTTCCCAAGTTAATACTTTTATAATTTCTTATGCCTGTCTTTACTGCAATCTGAACATGAATTGTGAAGATTTCATGGACATTTATCACTTCCCCAATCAATATTCTTATAATTTCTTATGCTTCTTTAAGCCCTTAATCCCATCATCTTCATAAACTGAGGATGTATGTCGCCTCAGGACCCTGTGATGATTGCATTAACTCCACAAATTGTTTGTAAAATACGTATGTTTGAACAATATGAAATCTGGGCACCCTGAAAAAGAACAGGATAACAGCCACATTCAAGCAACAAGGGAGATAACCATAAGGTCTGACTGCCTGTGGGGCGAGGCAGAACAGAGTCATATTTTTCTTATTGCAAAAAACGAGTAGGAGAAATATTGCTGAGTTCTTTTCCTGGTAAGGAATAACCCTGGGAAGGGAAGCATTCCCAGGGGAGGCCTATGGATGGCCACTCTGGGGGTGTCTGCCTTATGCGGTTGAAGATAAGGGATGAAATATACCCTGGTCTCCTGCAGTGCCCTCAGGCTTGCTAGGATTAGAAAATTCCAGCCTGGCGAATTCAGACCAGTTCTCTGCTCTTGAACCCTGTTTCCTGTTAAGATGTTTATCAATGACAATGTGTGCACAGCAGGACATGGAATCTCATTAGTAATTCTAATTTCACCCTGGCCTTGTGACCTTGCTCTGCCCTCCTGCCCTTGTGGTCTTTTATTGCCATTTGAAGCTTGTGATCTCTGTGACACACTCCCTATTCATACCCCTCTCCCCTTTTGAAATCCCTAATAAAAACGTGCTGCTTTTGTGGCTCAGGGGGGCAACACAGAACCTGCCGATATGTGATGTCACCCCCGGAGGCCCAGATGTACAATTTCTCTCTTTTGTACTCTTTCTCTTTATTTCTCAGACTGGCCGACACTTAGGGAAAATAGAAAAGAACCTATGTTGAAATATTGGGGGCTGGTTCCCCCAATAATTTTTCCTCTTCAAAAATTTAGTAAAAGTACATTCAGAACAAATGATTTTATTTTTTGTAACTTCTAGTAATCCCTCAACTAACTTAAATAATAATTTTGTTCTGAATGTTTTATTAGAAAATTCATATAATATAAATAATTGTTTTCACTTTTGATTAATAAGTACATTGCTAAAGAAGATAAACACTGCTGATTAACTTACACATACATAATATATTGTGTACTACATTAAATTATCCACATAAAAGGAAATAATAAATCTCAGCACTTAACAACATTATAAAAATATTACTCAATATTAATTTTAAGATAAGTTAATAAAATGAACTAGGTAATAAAACAAAGCCTATTGTTTGCCACTGTCATTTTTAGCAATGAAGTAGATTGATTATAGATCACAAGCTCAGCCCTTAGAGATGATAATTTGTCATTTTTCAATTATGGAAAATATAGCAATATCATTAACATTCTTGGCACTCTGTTTTGTGCAACATTAAAGAAAACTCATAAAAGGAGATTTCAAAATTCTTCAAAGATGAGTTGAAAATATTTTCAGTATGAACAAAAGCCAAGGGTCAATATGTAATGAGGTAAGTATTTTGTGCTGAAAGCTAAAAGCAAAAATAGATCAACTTCATATAAAACTAGAGCGTCAGCTAGATATGAATTTGTATCTGCATGTGTGTATTTCCATTTGCGCAAGTGACTCTTCACATTTTTTCTGTGTATATGCTGAAAGTGGCATTGCATTTCCCAGCCCAAGATATAAAAATGTTATATTCTATACTGATTCAAAAATATAAAATTTGTTATAATAGTAATGTGCCATTGATTTAATACAAAAATAGGTACTAAAGTAACTTTTGTAACTATTATTAAATCCATTTGTCTAAGGTACATTTTCTAACCAGGATGATTTAGAATGACCACAAGAATGAAAGAATACCCATCAATGGGAAATTATGCATTTATTTTCAAAGTTAAGGAAGAAAAGAGAGTGTTGTGAGTACATTTTTTATAGTCCTTAACAAAAAAATATTGTAAGAAATAAAGTAGGAAATAAAATTTGAGATAGGATTAAAAGATAAGCAGGCCAACCTTCTGTGTTATCAGAAGAAAAATAATTCCTTTTATTGTGTGGTGATATATGTCACTTGAGAAAGATTTCAGATCAATATTGACATTGATTTGCCACATTCAATGTAATTTGGAGTGGATAGAATTCTAATACACAAAAGCTAATATAAATAAGAAAAGAAAACCTTAGTGTTAAAAGAGACTTTAGGAATTTTTTTGAGGTGCAGATGAAATGATTAATTTATTTTTAAATACTCTGTAGCATTAGTAACTTTTTCTTGCATATCTGTTATTAAATCAAAGAAAAGATTTCTTAATCTTTTAAAAAATATCAGGATATTTTTTAAAATGTCCTAATAGTAAAAGACAGGGTCAGATTTTGGGAACATCACTTACCTAAAGTTGCTCCTTTTGTTTTGTTTTCATTATAGAACTGGTACAAGTATATAATAAGTTATAATTTTCTTTTCAAGTTATCCAGATATACCTCTTGCATCTCAGTATTTTTTCCAGAAGGGCTCTCAATGTCAAAATATGAAATGCAGCAAGAAATAACAATAGTAATGTGTGTATATTTTAGTAGCTTTCAGTTGATGACAGTGTCCTCTTTCTCACTGCACTTGGTCCCTGAGGAAGCAAGAAGTGTTCGTGAATATTTTAACGAAGTACAGAAGAGTGTACAAAGTGCTAACCAGTGTGGATGGAGGAAAGAGAATAAATCCATACTTCAAAATAAACATTAAAATGTGAATAAGGGAAATAAAATGCTGAGTAAAGTATTTTAATGCTTTGGTATTTATGGTATAGGAAATCTTGCATTCAAACATAGGAAAGATAAGAGAGTTTTGAATGGTCTTGATAGCAAGATGCTATAAATTATAACCTACCTATAACCTTTAGTTGCTCCAAATGATAATTATTCTAGTTTTCTGAATTATACTAACACATTCAAGCTCTATGAGCAAACTCTAGAGATATTCAAATATAAGCCATATATATGTATATATAGATATATTTAAAAGATAGAAGAATAAACTAATTTGGATTTTCAGCATTTGATTTATTTCAGTAGCAATATATGTTTAAGGAAAGAACATGTAAGTTGATCTTAGATTCATTCTACATGAGTTAATTAAAAGTTGCTATATATGTAGATGATGCCATTCAATGTACTACTACATGAGAGGAATTTATAGTTTAAAAATTGTCCACCAGCATTCACATTATTTTATTTTATTTTGTTATTGATTATATTAACACTTTCAAATAGTATTCAACATATCTACAGATTTTTAGCTACTACTGCATTTTTCTAATCTGTATTTGTATCTGTATTTGCAGTATTCTATCTGTTAATCTAGGTGATGATCTCCAAGATTAAAGACTGTAGTCCTTTAGTCATTCAGAATGCCTTTTGGTTAGTCAGAAGACAACTAATCATAAATATATCTGAGCTTCCTCAATGGTTTCTTACCACTCAAAACTCTCACAACCCAGTGAAACATAATGTTTCACTTAAATCCAGTGGGAAACCTAAGGGAATTACCATTAAGAGAAAAATGAGGATTACAGGAGTAACTGTGTTGGAGTTTGCTAATTGATAAGGTCAGGAAGGCAATCACTGCTAAAGTGCACAATGTCAAAATAATATTTTTAAAATATTGTCAGGCATATTACTCAGTGTTCTCTAGAGGGAAAGAACTAATAGGATAGATGTATATATAAAGGGGAATTTACTAAGGTGTATTAACTCACACAATCACAAGGTGAGGTCCCACAATAGACCATCTGCAGGCTGAGCAGCAAGGAAGCCAGTTCAAGTTACAAAGCCAAAGAACATGGAGTCTGATGTTTGAAGGCAGAAAGCACACAGTACAGGAGAAATATGTAGGCTGACAGATTAAACCTGTGTAGTCTTTCCAACTTTCTCCAGCCTGCTTTATATTCTGGCTGCGCTGGCAGCTGATTAGATGGTGCCTACCCAGATTGAGGGTGGGTCTGCCTTTCCCAGTCCACTGACTCAAATGTTAATCTTCTTTGGCAACACCATCACAGACACACCCAGGAACAATATTTTGCATCTTTTAATCCAATTAAGTTGACATTCAGTGTTAATCATCACACCAGGCATGGTGTTTACTGCCTGTAATTCTAGCCACTCCAGAGGCTGGTGCAGGAGGATCCCTTGAACTTAAAAGTTGGAGACCATCCTAGGCAATAAAGTGAGACCCCATTTCAAAATAACTAAAAAAAAAATCAGTAATCTCACTGGTCATACCACTGCTTGGGCAATTAATCATTGCTCTGAAAACTGATTTAAAAGGATGGAGGAGTACCAATTATTTATCCAAGATTTTCTGAATATATTTTATCTTACTGAACAAATGTGCCAATTCAGGAAATTTCCACTTTGTAAAACAGCTATAGCTAAAAGATGTGGAAAAATTATGCAACACAAACTTCACTAGTTTATATTTCCTAAATAAATAATCAGTCTAGAAAACATTCATCAATATCTACAAAAATTAGTAGGTGAAAAATTGATGGGGAATTTTACAATGGATGGATTGAATCAAATAACATGGGAAGCCACTGATCATCTATTAAGAGTAATAGCTACAGGAGACAGACAAATTCCTAGGTGCAGAGGGGCGGGTCCCCAGTGAAACCCAACCTTCAAGTGAAAGACAGTTCAAATCCTGAAAACTGAGCTGCCAGTTCCAGGTGGAGTCCTCGATCGGAGTGAGAATTTCCTCGATGTCTTTTAGCCCATCAAAAGATGCTTTCTTTAGGTCCACTCATGGACCAACCAGCATACACTCCCTCAGTTTGAGCCCATAAAATCCCCAGACTCAGCCTCACAAACTGCAACCTGCTTTGGGCCCCCTGTCACACAGAAGACTACCCGCTCTCAAGTCCCCTCTCCACTGAAAGCTTTCCTTCTGCCACTGAATAAAATTATTCTGTGCCCTACTCACTCTCTGATGTCTACACACCTTTGTCCTCTTGGTTATGGGACAAGAACCTGGGACTCACAAAGTTTCAGGTGACAGGAATGAGCTGTATCATGCCTCTTTTCACTGAGCTGCAGACAGGAATAAGAGAGAGCTGTAACATTTCTTGGGGGCTCAGACCTCGGGACTCCCCAGAAAAGAGCTGTAAAACCCCTTGGGGCTCCATGGTGGCTGGCATCTCTGAGTTTTCAGGAATCACCAGTGTGACATCACTGTCTAGATGTCAGTGCCCAACATGGAAGCCACTCGTGGCATGCCTGGTTCCGCTGTGGGATGAGCACAGATCCTACAGTGGGTGCAAGATCTGGGCCATGGTGCAAGCAGAGAGCAGCCTGACAGGCTGAGCAGGTGGAGTGAGCCTGGTTTGCCCAAGCAAGTTCCCAGGCAGAGGTCACAGAAGCCAAACAGAGTTCTGGCTGATGAAGTGGCACTGAATGAATCCTGTAGCACTGTAACCCTACCTCCTGCAACAAGGGAGAAAAAGAAAAACCTGCTGGGCGCCATTCCCTACCTCTCACCAAACTACAGAAGCTACAATGAGAGTAGGGCACTTAGGCATTATATGCCTCTGGATAAGTAACTGCCCTAAGACTGTGACTATTTCTACAAGTGACTAAAGTACAAAATAACACCTAAGTGAGTAAACCTCTGAATCAAATGATTGATTTAAAGGGAATACATAAGGCAACAGAACAAATAGTACAAAGATGCAATCAACTCAACCAAAAATAGACAAAGCTTTATTTATTTATTTTTGAGACAAGGTCTCACTTTGTTGCTCAGGCTATAGTGTAGAGGTGTCATCATATCTTATTGCGCCCTCGAACTGCTAGGCTCAAGTGATCCTCCCACCTCAGTCTCCTGAGAAGCTAGGATTACAGGTGTGTGCAACCAGCCCAGCTAATTTAGTTTTTATTGTTTTTATTTTTTGTAGATATGGGTTTTTGCTATGCTTCCCAGGCTGGTCTTCAAGTATTGAGTTTAAGTAAATTGCCCTCCTCAGCTTCCCAAAGTGCTGGGATCACAGGCATGATCCATGGTACCCAGCCTAAAATATAAAACATTTCAGAGGATAAATGACGGGGTTTCTCTTTCATCATATATGTTACAATGGAAAAAAGAGAGAGTAATGAGATAATAGTTATAGATTGAAAAGAATTATGAAACATATCAATCAAATGCTATGTGAAGACATTGTTGGAATACTTATTTTTACTAAACAATTCTAAAATTTCATATTTAGGACAATCAAGGAACTTGGAAACAATAGATTATATTAAGAAAGTATTGCTAATTTTGCTGTACTAGTTGAATGGTGCTTATATAAAAAATAAAATTGTCTGGTTAGAGTTGCATTCGTTTTAAGATACTCTAGACTGTAACAGCCAACAGATGGGGAGGAAGAAAGAGAGAGAGAGAATATGTGCGAGATGATGAGACAAGAATAGCAAAATAATAATAACTACTAAACCTTTCTGAAGGGCGTGTGACAGTTTATTATTCTGTCCTATCCTGTGCATGTTTAGAAATTAAAAATTCACTAATAACAATAATCTAGCATGATATTAGTACTTTAAAAACATTTACCAAAAAAAAATTTAGAAATGAAGTTAATTTCAAACTTCAAATTTTTCACATTATACATAAGGAACCCTTTACATTATAATGTCTGTTTGTCTCACATTCTGTTTGTCTCACAGTCAAATTTTATAGGCCACAGTGTTTTTAACCTCCTCTATATAAACTATTATGACAACCTTGTGAAATATTATCACATGATTTCTAATTTATTTATTTTTTAAACTATTTCCATACTCTCATTTGATAGTTTAGTTTAGAATTATAATTAGGAGCACTGAAGTTTAAGCTAGATTCAGAAGCTCATTTCTGCCTGCCATCTCCAAGTTTGTCATGGAATTCTGCTTCCAAATTTATATGGAATTCAGCTTTAACTTTACATGTAAAACAAATGTTCAAGCAGCAATTAAGACTCAGGCGTCTACATTAAGCTAATGCCTTATTCAATAAAATTCCCACTGATTTCTTTTTAGGTACTATATATTGAAGGGAGGAGGAAATAATGCTTTTCTACTAATAGAGTAGCTGTCCCCTCTTCATGTCATATAAACACGTAAAGTGTTGTAAATTCTCAATAAATGTGCTTATTTCAGTGACTTCTTAGAAAATACAAGACATACATACCAGTAATTGAACATAATTACAGTGACATCTCCAGAACTATAAAATAAAGTTAATTCAAACATTCAAAATGCACACGAAGATGCCTCAATAATAATTTTATCATATATATATATAATATATATATATATTTTTTGAGATGGAGTCTCACTCTGTTGCCCAGGCTGGAGTGCAGTGGTGCGATCTCAGCTCACTGCAACCTCTGCCTCCCGGATTCAAGCAATTCTCCTGCCTCAGCCTCCTGAATAGCTGGGACTACAGGCATGTGCCATCACTCCCGGCTTTTTTTTTTTTTTTTTTTTTTTTTTTTTGGATTTTTAGTAGAGACGGGGTTTCACCGTGTTAGCCAGGATGTTCTTGATCTCCTGACCTTGTGATCCGCCCACCTCAGCTTCCTAAAGTGTTGGAATTACAGATATGAGCTATTGTTCCAGGCCTATCATATTTTTTGTTAGCTTAAATTATGATATGTAAGAAAAAAAAAGCTCACCTGGCTTTTTAAAATAAAATTAAATAACTTTCTTATTCTTAGAAATGTGTTGTATGTGGACCCTTCCAATCAACTTTGTTGTAATCTTCCAACCCCTTGATGTCTCAATGAATATCTCCTGAACCCCCATTAACAATAGAAGAAAATGTTATCGACTTTCAAAATACTCAATGGTATTAATTTTTATTAGCATTAACTAACACCATATACGATACAATTATTTCATAAGAAAGCTGGTGACTATCAAGATTTTGATTGAGGATTTTCATTCACTTAAAGGATCATTTAATGACTATGGGGCAATATATATTTTTAAAATTATCATTATACACTGGGATGATTGTTAAAGTCAAATGCTGCAGGCTATCACATTCTTGAATTACCCCTGTGTATCATTTCAGATCCTTTGTAACAAGAGCTTTGATTACTATGGGTCATTATATCATTAAAATTTGAGATCAGTATTACCTGTCATTCACTCTGCACAAAAAGGTCATATCTCCATTGACAGCTTGGATACCCTTAAATCAGTTTCAAAGATTCTCTTATTTCAGTTGCTTTATATTTAAGGCTCTGTATGGTAGTCCTACTTATATAACTCTTACAGCTGACTTTTCTGTGATAATTTCAATGTGAATAGTCTCAGCATGATAAAATCTCTTTTAAGTCTAGGAATTTATAATAGCTCCAGAATCAGATTTATTGCCTAAAAAAACTAATCAAACTATTTGGAAACACCTGAAAAAAAAGGAAATTAAAGATATATTTTTAATTTAAAATTGGGAAACTAAGACACACAGAATGTTTCTAAGCAAAGCCAGATGACAAATTTGCTTTTCATTATTCCAGATAATTTTTTGGGCCTGAACCTGTCTTCATCATGAGTAAGTTACTGTGCATTTAGAGAGATTTAAAAAGTTTAGAAGAATATTCCTTTATCTCAGATTCTATATCTTGATATCTTTATTACTTTATTCAAATCGCTTCTCTCAGTTCTTCTTCTACATCAAGGTAAAATAAGTTTTCTTGCATAGAAATAGACCATACTACACACCCTTTGAAGAAAATCACATTGCCTTATCTTCTGGGCTTACAGTTGGCAAATAACTTTCAGTTGGCCTTCAGAGACTGCCTCAACTTCAGCAAGATGCTTTACATGGGATTATCATATTGGGGATGGCTCACATCTACAGAGACAGATACAAGAGGATAAAGGGCTTATTTTAATTGCAATGTACTTGGAATGCTTCTAATAAGCTGTTTTAGCTCTTGAGCTTTCTGTAGGGTCAACTGAGGCTGTTATTGGTGCCTGCCTGAACAAGAACTAGAACTCTCATTTAGCCCAATCTCACTTCCCCATGCTCCAAACCAGAGCTGATGCCAGGAGTGCTCCCACATAAACATAATAATAAGTACAGCAGTCTTTGCTGAGAGACTCTTCCCAGTGGATTCAACCTGCAACAACAGTGAAAAATCAATGAAGAAAACCTCTTTTACAGCTTTGATAAAGTAGGTACCACAGAAAGGTAAGAAAAATTTGGGCAAATCATCTCTCAATACAGTCTTTTGCCTCTGCCTGGGAGCACATAAAGGAGTCATTTAAACATCTTCATGTTATTTTAATGGTATTTATAAAACTTACAGGTTCGTTGTATTTTCAAAGAAAATTTGTTTAATTTTCCCTAGTCATTTTATACTTTTAAAAATTTCAAAATAAAGTAATATATTTATCAGTGAAGACAGCAATTTATTTTATTAAGTCAAAAAAATGGATTCATGTCTATGAATATTATTATCATAATGCTTCATACCACTACAAATACACTACAGAAACATATCACTACTGATGTTCTTTGAAAATGTTTCATATTTTATATAAAAAGAAATATAATTATGATTATGATATATGCAGAAAGCAGATGAGGGAGAGTCTCCAGAGAAGCTCCGACCTAGCCCACAAGTGTTTACATGAAATGCTTTTGTGCAAATAAGGGAACCTGCCCAGGCCCTTGTTTGGGAATGCCTTCAATGAACTAGGGGGCCTGCTCATACCCTGGGAGAATGAGGTGGAGCCACTGGGAAGTTTGTGTCTCATGCAGCAGGGAGGAGCCTGGTCTCTTCAGCTTATGTGGTGGCCTGGTATTCAATCTGTGAGGTGGCAGCCTGTTGGTAGGACTCCTTTTTTTTCAGTGCATGCTATCTTTTAATAAATTTTGCCCTCCTCACCTTTCAACATGCCCGCATGTGTATTAGTCCATTTTCACACTGCTGATAAAGATATACCTGAGACTGGGTAATTTATAAAGAAAAAGAGGTTTAATGGACTCACAGTTTAATGTGGTTGGGGAGGCCTCACAATCATGGTGGATGGCAAAAGGCACATCTTACATGGCAGCAAGCAAGAGAGAATGAGAGCCAAGCAGAAGGGGAAAAACCTTGTAAAAACCATCACATCTCATGACACTTATTAACTACCATGAGAACAGTATGGGGAAAACCACCCCAATGATTCAATTATCTTCAACTGGATACCTCCCACAACATGTGGGAATTGTGGGAGGTACAATTTGAAATGAGATTTGGGTGGGGACACAGCCAAACCATGACATTCTGCCCCTGGCCCTTCCAAAATGTCACATCCTCACATTTCAAAACCAATCATGCCACCCCAACAGTCACCCAAATTCTTAACTCATTTCACCATTATCTAAAAAGTCCAAAAGTCCTCATCTGAGACAAGGCAAATCCCTCACGCTTATGAGCCTGTAAAATCAAAAGCAAGTTAGTTACTTTCTAGATACAATGGGGGTACAGACATTGGGTAAGTATAGCCATTCCAAATGAATAAAATTGGCCAAAGCAAAGGGATTACAGGTCTCATACAAGTCCAAAATCGATCAGAGCAGTCAAATCTTAAAGCTCCAAATGATCTCCTTTGACTCCATGTCTCACATTCAAGCTGTGCTGATCAAGAGGTGGGCTCCCATGACCTTGGGCAGCTCTGCCCCTATGGCTTTGCAGGATACAGCTCCCATCTCTGCTGCTTTCATAGGCTGGCATTGAGTGTCTGTGGCTTTTCCAGGTTCATGGTGTAAGCTGTTGGTGGATCTACCATTCTGGGTTCTGGAGGACAGTGGCCCTCTTCTCACAGCTCCACTATGTAGTGCTCCAGTAGGGACTCTGTATAGGAGCTTCAACTCCACATTTCCCTTCTGCAGTGCCTTAGCAGAGGTTCTCCATGAGGACTCAGTCCCTTTAGCAAACTTCTGCTTGAAAATCTAGGTGTTCCATGCATCCTCTGAACTCTAGGTGGATGTTCCAAACCCCAATTTTTTACTTCTGTGTACCCACAGGCTCAACACCACATGGAAGCTGCCAAGGCTTGGGGCTTGCACCCTCTGAATTCATGGACCAAGCCTTACCTTGGCCCTTTGTAGCCATGGCTAGAGTGGCTGGGACATAGGGCACCAAGTTCCTAGGCTGCACACAGCAGGAGGGTCCTGGGCCCGGCCCAGGAAACCACTTTTTCCTCCCAGGCCTCTGAGCCTGTGATGGGAGGGACTGCCCCAAAGGTCTCTGGCATACCCTGGAGACATTTTCCCCATTGTCTTGGCAACTAACATTTGGCTTCTTGTTACTTACGCAAATTTCTGCAGCCAGCTTGAATTTCTTCTCAGAAAATGGAATTTTCTTTTCTATTGCATTGTCAGGCTGTGAATTTTCTGAATTTTTATGCTCTGTTACCCTTATAAAAGTGAATGCTTTTGACAGCACCAAAGTTATATCTTGAATGCTTTGCTGCTTAGAAATTTATTTCACCAAAACCCTACATCATCTTGCTCCAGTTCAAAATTCCATAATCTTTAGGGCAGGGGATAAATGCCTTCAGTCTCTTTGTTAAAACATAGCAAGACTCACCTTTACTGCACTTCCCAATAGGTTTGTCATCTCCATCTGAGACCACCTCAGCCTGAATTTTATTGTTCATATCACTATCAGCATTTTGGTCAAAGCCATTCAAAAAATCTCTAGGAAGTTCTAAACTTTTCCATGTTTTTCTGTATTCTTCTGAGACCTCCAAACTTTTCCAACCTCTGCCTGTATGTTACCCAGTTCCAAAGTTGCCTCCACATTTTAAGGTGTCTTATAGCAGCTCCCCACTCTGCAGTGCCAATTTACTCTATTAGATCATTTTCATGCTGCTGTTAAAGACATACCCAAGACTGGGTAATTTATAAAGAAAGAGAGGTTTAATGGACTCACAGTTCCATGTAGCTGGAGAGGTCTCACAATCATGGCAGAAGGTGAAAAGCATATCTTCATGGCGGCAGACAAGAGAGAATGAGAGCCAAGTGAAAGAGGAAACCTCTTATAAAATCACCAGAATTTATGAGACTTACTCACTACCAGAACAGTATGGGGAAAACTGCTCCCATACATCCTCCCCCAGGCATCTTTCCAATTCTGCACTTTAAGCAGTTTTTTTTTTTCCTTTTCTCCACCTTGTCAGCTGTTAATAGAGTCCTGCACTCTCATTTTTTTTTAAATTTTCTCCACTAGGTTAGAAATTAACTATTAAGAAAGAGGCTTCTTTTCCTTTTAGAAGATGTTTTACTAGGCCAGGACCACAAGTATCACTGTTTATATTTTTTGTAAAGTTTTCATTATGAAAAATAATTTGTGAGGTTGATCTTAAGCTATAGCCAATTTGGTGTGCTTTGCATGGCTTTCTGTATAATCAGTAGCAAACTTTGCTGCAGGCCTTCATCTTGTTTTACATCCCTGAGAGTGTGACCTGTAACCACATGGAAGTGCTTTGTTTTAGCCTCTACCATTTTACAATGGCTGCCAGGGTTCAATCCTGGCTTAGTGAATGAGTTCTTTCTGGTTTGATATCTGTGTGACGTTTGCCATTTGTAGATTCTCTTCCCCTCAACGAACCACCTTGTGTTTTCTTCTGTCTGAGTCTCTAGTAAAGTTTAAAAGCCAGAAATATTGACCACTTTGCATAGCTAAATTCAGGTAATAAAGGATTTAAAAGGATTTTCTTAATTAAAAGTGGATATCCAAGTTATAGGTATATTTAAAAGGGCTTTATGTTTTTCCCTTCTTGGATCTTGTTTTGCTGGAAAAAGGATTTTTCTCAACTAAATTATTTTTCTCCATTTTGTCTTGCCACACTTAATGCATACATACGAGGCCCTAAGATAGTTTCTGATGGCTTGGAAATCCTTGGGAAAGACAGAAAAAGTGTCACAAATTCCATTTTGGGAGACAGCTGTGTTTTTCACATGTAGCCCCAGGAATTAAAGGCAGTTAGATCCCTCTTGGGCGGCTGAGGCAGGCAGATCACCTGAGATCGGGAGTTCAAGACCAGCCTGACCAACATGGAGAAACTCTTGTCTCTACTAAAAATACAAAATCAGCTGGGTGTGGTGGCACATCCCTGTAATCCCAGCTACTCGGGAGGCTGAGGCAGAAGAATTGCTTGAACCCGACAGGTGCAGGCTGTGGTGAGCTGAGACTGCACCATTGTACTCCAGCCTCGGCAACAAGAGCAAAACTCCATCTCAAAATAACAACAACAACAAAAAAAACAAACAAAATCTGTTTTTGTCTTACAGCTGTACCTGTTTATTAGGCCCTGGAAACTACATGCTTTCCTAGCCTTGCTCATAAAGGGCTCCACCCAAAGGCTAATAATCATATTAGTAGACTGGCAACACAAAAATCTTACAGCTACTGAATCTTCTTCTATCTTTCTGTGTAGTTATACATGTGTCATGTGTGTGATGTCTATAAAAAAGTGCTCTAATTAATTGACTTAAATAAGGATAAGCACTTTGATCAAATATTTTTTAAAGAGAAGATAAAAGTTGTGGTATATTTTGGTTCATGTGACTTTTATCTTTGAGAAATAAAACAGCCTTAAAGATTATTGGCAAAATAGAGATGTCATCAAAATGTAAATTTTTTGCCTGGGGTTAAAGGATTGTTTTGAATTAGATGAGATAAATCTAAAAGTTCAAGCAAGTTGTAGAAAGATTGTAAAAATTAATCTTGCAAAAGAAATTTAATGTGTGAACACATTGACTGAATTCAAAAGAGTGTTATATGGTTTTTTTTGTAAATTGAGCATGGAAATAAAAGCAGAACAAGGTATTCTTAAGGCACTAATCTGTTCTTTAGCAAAATTTGTAAAGGGTTATAAAAGGTTTTTGCTCTTTCAAAAAATTTCTGAGTCATCATTCTGGCAAAATAAACAACTTATGGTAAACTGGAATTTTATTTCATAACATCAATCATTTTAAACCTCTAATATTTAACAGGTTTCCCAAAATCAAGCTTCAGTTTCAAAATTGTCTTTCCTGACAATCCAAAAACCTGGCTTTTGGATGATACAGAGGGACAGTAGAGCATCCAGAAGACAGGTAAACAGGATTATCTGATGTGTTTAGGAACATGGGATTGCCAAAATTATGTTTAATCTTTTTCAGTTATATTTTAAGGCATAATATTAAGTTCCAAAATTGTATGGGATCTCTAAAATTCTAATGTCTGAGTATATGCTATCAATCACAATTAAGGTTATTATGATAAGTTATTGTAAACCACAGAGATAACCAAATTTTTCTGTAAATAATGTTTTTGACTGTAACTGCCCTGGACATTTTGTTATTCACAGACAATTCTTGTCTTGTTTTGATTCTCTTCAAAGGATGATTTATAGTCAGCTTTAGAACTTTGACTGGTGCTCTCAAATGTAGGTTTCTGATAACTTTGGAGACTGTGACATTGTAATAAAGGAATAACATACAGGACTCATGAAGGGCTAAAATGTTCACTAATATCAAGCAAACCAAGAGTTAACTGAAAGAACTGAACTAATAGAAAACTAAAGTAATCTTTTTGACTATTGCTTGGAACACTGCTGATCCTAGTTTTATTTCTCAAAGTCAAGGAAACTAATTTTGAGCTACTTAGAGCCTTTAATAATTGAGAAATGTGTACTCCTGTGAACAAAATTTGGAGCATACTTGTCTCTCTCTTCCTGGCTTCTCCAAAATTTGGAAACTAGTTGTGGATATTCTTAACTCATGGCAAAATAATTGTTTGCATCAGTGCAAAAAAAAATCCATTTTCTTTTGCAATGGGATGCAATTGGAGAAACTGGTTGTTTTAAAAAGGCTTTGACTGGAAGAGTATCCTCCTTAGGAAGTCAAACTCAACTTGTACAGCCAACAAAAGGCCCTTGGGAAAACTGGCCTCATACTTTGTCTACAAAGTCCCCATACAGGGTTCCTAACCTGTGGTAAGTAAAGAATGTCACTTTCTAACAGGCCCAGGAACCCCATGCTCCTGGAACTTCAAGAAGAGAGAAGCCTACCCACCTCATAGGTATTTGAGGGTGCAAACCCATGGCTGAGCTTAGTTTTAGAAAGTCCTAAGATGCCTTGTGGGACAGAGTTCCATCAAAGCAAAGTCCTATGTAAAAATGATTATCCTTGCTGCACATTATGCAAGTAATCAGGTCAATTAAAAAACTAAAGTCTATTTTGAAAATTACTCAGTCCTATCATGATTTGTTTTGAACAAAAATGAGGCCTGGAGAGAGAGAAATTATGTTTCAAAACTTTTCATATATTTGTCTTTAAATTCTAGGCTCATTAGCTGTCTTTAACATTTTGCCTGCATTTTAGACTAGCCACGCTTATTCCTGTGAACCAACCAGCAATCTCCAACTGCAGCTCAGAAGGAACAAAAAGGATGGGTAATGTAAAAACTGGGATCAATATTCTAGTTCTGAACAACTATCCTGCAAATTCTGCCAGGTGATGGGAATAAATAGGGTGCCCATCAGCTGGAGGTTTCCTTTTTGAGAAAATAAGAACAAGGGAGTTAACCAAAGCCAAGCCCGATGCATCCAAATCTTAGCAAGCATAACTATAGCCACCAGTTATCTGGTTGTGTCACGATACATCCTTTTCTCTCCCTTGTTGGAGGAGGACTCTATTCCACAGCTTCACCTTAACATTTGACTTATGATAAGGAGTCTATGCTACTTCCCCTGAGACACATTTTTTGTCCCAAACTCCATTCTAAGCTTTGGGTCAAAGCCCTAAGGTGGGGTGGGAAACAAAAACTGGATCTGCAGGATCCAGAGGCAGATGATAATGGGAGTTAAAAGGTAGAGTGCGGGTGAACATGACTAATTCCTGCTGATTAGTCCAAGCTTCTCATTTCATGGATAAAGTTCATGCTAGTATCCATGGCATAAATGAGGTCTAGGGAATTTGAAGACTACTGACAACAGGGGAGATAGGGTGTATGTGGGTAAAAGCAGATATTTCCAACCCCTAGGTCCCCCCCGTTAACATGGGTGAAAGCCATTTTGACACCCATGGTCAGTACCTTAATGTAGTCACTGGGACTCAGGGATATAAAGATGGAGGAAAGAAAGAGATGCCTCACTTTCTCTCCCTCACTTACCTGGGCTATTTGCCAGGAAGGGAAGGGAACTTGGGATGCCTGCTTGCCTCCATATAGATGGGTAACCATTGAACTTCAATCTGTACCCATTTTAAATGCATCCTGAAACCCTGGGACTCCTTTGAAAAAATATGCCTTTTTTTTTCCTTTTTTCTCCTCTGTCCTCTCTTCAATGATAGGTAATTGTGTCTATGTATCATAAGACACTTCCCTTGGATGCATCCTCCAAACTGGGAAAAGTTTATTTTCCCAAACCTTAAACTCTTTGGCTTAGGATAGGGCTTGGGGGAAGGAAACCCAGAAGCCTGACATGCTGGAAAAAGGATAAAGTGTTTTTTTACCAGTTGGGTTTTGCCCTCCCTTTCCCTGTGCAAACTGGTAAAAATGCTTGGAATTTATGAGCTGTCCTAACCCCCCTCCTTGTTTTGTTTTGATACATTATTTTCTAATAACCCATTTTGTCTCTTCTCACCTTCAGGCCATTAAATTCCAAATGGTCATGCAACCAGAGCCTCGGAAAATAGTCCCTTTTGTTGGGGACCGTTAGAGAGACCTTTCAGGGAGATCTGACTGCCATTTTCCCAAAACAGTACCTCATGTCAGCAGAAAGCAGCTAAGATCAGCCTTTGTCCTTATCCCTATGCTTATTCTCATGGCAGTTAGATGTACTTCTTTAGAGAGAAGAATGATGTATGTAGGAGGCAGTTAAGGGGGAGGGTCCCTGGAGAATCTCTGACCCGCCTCACAAGTGTTTGCATCAGATGCTTTTGTACAGACGAGGGAACCCACCCAGGGCCTTGTTTGGGCATACCCACAACGAACTGGGGGACCCACCTGAACACTGGGAGACCCACCTGCACACTGGGAGAGTGGGGTGGAGACACTGGGAAGATGGTGCCTTGTGCACCAGGAAGGAGCCTGGTCTCTTCGGCACGTGTGTGTGGTGACCTGGTATTCAATCTGGGAGGTGAGACCCTGTTGGCAGGACTCCTTTTTTTCACTGAGAGCTTTCTTTTAATAAATTTTGCTCTCCTCACCTTTTTTTTTTTTTTTTTTTTTTGAGATGGAGTCTCGCTCTGTCGCCCAGGCTGGAGTGCAGTGGTGCGATCTCGGCTCACTGCAAGCTCCGCCTCCCAGGTTCACACCATTCTCCTGCCTCAGCCTCCTGAGTAGCTGGGACTACAGGCGCCCGCTCACGCCCGACTAATTTTTTTGTATTTTTAGTAGAGACAGGGTTTCACCATGTTAGCCAGGATGGTCTCGATCTCCTGACCTCGTGATCCACCCGCCTGGGCCTCCCAAAGTGCTGGGATTACAGGCGTGAGCCACCGTGCCCGGCCTCCTCATCTTTTAATGTTTCTGCGTGCCTAACTTTTTCTGTTAGTGGGACAAGAACCCAGATTTTAGCTGAGCTAAGGAGCAAAAATCCTGCATCAATTATAAGAAAATATAGTATAATAATAATTTTAATTATCTTATGATTAAAAGGAAGATAATGAATGATTATTCTTAGAACTGATCCCTGGTGAAATATAATTATGACAATAGACTCTATGGTATGGCATTGATAAATACTGAGTTAAAATTTGAGGCATAAAGAGATAATCAATAACAAGAACCTGAGCAATCCAACTTTGCTACCTCAAGAATAAAATCAGAGGCTTTGCATTATTCCTGGCTTCTACCCTCTGTGTGTGACGTCCTCTGGGAACCATATTTCTGATGGTGCAGAAGGTTTCAGGTTTGTTGTCCTTAAGTTACTTCTCCCTAGGGTTACCTCTCCATGTTGACAGGTGAAAGAGATTTTTTTTTGTAGGAGGTTCAGTTTTCTTACTGACACAGAATTCCCATAGACTCAGTGATGTCTTTGGCAAGCTGCTGCCTGGATGTTAATATTTTGATAAAGTGAAATAGTCAAAACTTTATAGTCAAATATGTCTGTACTAGAAACCTTGTTTTGCCACTTCTACAAACCTACATTACCTTGTCTATAATGGGGGAACTTAATGTCTATATCTCAGGGCTTTTATTTTAATTAATAGTGAGTTATATAAAGCATCAACATTTGAAATGCACTAGAAAAATGTTATTTACTCTTTTCCTCATTGGTTTTTATTTGTTTCTGGTCTTGTTTGCAAGTCTTGAAATGCTGAGTGAATTCTGTTGTAAGACCTTTTTGTCTTTCTTTCCTTTGAAAATGATTTCTTCTCCCTTTTCCTGTCCTCTTCATCTATGATTATGGAGGAAATCTGAAAATAGGAGAGAAGATATGTAAGTGCCTTTAACACCTGCTTCATAACAAACATGCTGAGAATTTAGTGGCATACAACAAAAAATATTTTATTATCATGAATTCACAGGTCCGGAATTCAGAGAGAGCACAGTAGAGATGTTCATCTTTGGTTTAGTTACTTGAATATGATTTCTTTTGTTTCTAGGAGAAAAGAGGCTGATAATCTTTCCCATACACATTTAACATACAATGGTAATCTGGGTGTACAATAACTGTAATAGACACCCCAAAACTTGCAGGGGAGAAGCAAGCATTCAATCACCAGTCCTTCACATTCTGAAACAGTTGGGCATGTGTTCCCAGTTTCTTGATTAGGGCCCCATCCCTAAAAATGATTGTCCTTAGCTCTTAATTTCTTATCTATTGGTTTATATTTCATTCCATTAGACAGAATCTACACCCACAATTATCTTGAAGATAAGCCTTCTTCTTTTCGACCCTTGTAAAGAAATGGTGCAACTATGCTTTTAAGAAGTTAGAAGCGTTGTTGTCTAGCCAAGAGAGTCAATGGGGCATGCACTTAGATTCTTAGAGAATTTTTTGCTGAACTTAGAAGGCATTTGAAAAAATGCTTTATATCTTTCTGAGGTCTTAACAAAGGCCTTTCTGCCACACCCTGGATTCCCAGAGGCCATGTTTTACTGGCAATATTCCGGATTTCTTTGATCTTTGTCCTGAGACCATCTATTACTTTGAAAACGTTTCCTTGGCTGGAAAGACTGCCCTAGCCCCAGATAGTTCCTAAAAATTCTAACAAAAAGTAAAAAGTTATTTCTTTAAATCATCTATCTCTTTCCAAACTTTATCTAAAACAACGGTTGTCAAGAGACCGGGATTCCATTTTTCCTTAATGGATATAGCAGCTTCCAAGGGAAGGGTTGAGGGGTGCAGCTTACAAGAAACAGCATTATTACAGAAGGATGACTAGGGAAAAAGAGTGGAAAGAGGAAGACTTCCACAACAATGTACAGTAATAATAAAATATGCTCAGAAGGCATTGGACTCTAGTGTGACACACAATATTCCATTCTCCTCTGTCTTGGGTTAATTTTTATGTTGATATTTATGCAAAATGTTAAGCTGTCTAAAATAGTCTGCAATTAAGTCTGTCTTCATGCATGGCTCCTCAAAACAAAAGTGCACTTTTATTACAGTACTCAATATTAGATCCCAGAAAAAAAATAAAATCCCCCTAAATTTTAAGTCTATCTGAGACACAGTATTTTAGAAACTGGCAAAATAAGAGAAACAGAAAAATATACAGAGCAGGAGTGTTTCCAGAATAAAAGAGTAATACAAAAAAAAGAAAAAAATGTAAAAAAAAAGTGTTTTAAAAAATATATAGTTACTGGCATTACATTCGATAAAGAGATTGAATAAAGTATACATTCAAAAGAAACAATTGAACTTTGAATTCAGAAATTATTAAAGATTTAAAGGACCAGATAAAGTATAATACATAGTTGATTGTCAGAAATGAGAATTCAATCAGTTAAGAACTGAATATTTTCAGAGGAAGCAGAGCAGTAAGCGTAGAAGATATCCAAGGATGAAAATTGATGGGCATTAGCGTGCTGGAGAAACGAGATTAAGTGAAGCATTTTGCTTTTGTTTTTATTTTGTTGGGGATCAACTCTAAAAGACTGAAGATAAAAACAGAGAAAGTCAGGGAGACCAGAAGAATGCAAATAAGTTCAGCTGCTCCCTGCTTGATGATATTCAAGTTAGGATACTATAATATAAAAAGAAATAGTTTGTATTCTTTCAAATAAACAAACATTTAATGAAAATGTTTTAGGCCATTTGGAACATGAACTTATTTTATTCCATTTCTTTAAGTTATAAGAGGTCCTTCCCACCATTTTGGAGTTTGGTACAGGATTCATAAATACACGTAGAGATTATGAACAAGGCTCTAAATCAATACAGCTACAGGACAATGCACATAACAAAGATTACATGTTCTTGTTTGCTAATTGTAGTAATGTTCAATGAGCTTTAGCTAAACCTTGTTTGATCTTCATGCAATAAAATACTCCAAGTTGCTAGTAGGACACCCAGCTGGTAGTACCCAACAGGAAATTGAAAATGAAGAATTAGTGAGGGAGTGGTTTAGACTAGAGATGTGTATTTGAAAGATATTATCATAAAATTGAAAGCTGACACACTGGGAGCAGATGTTATTGCCACAGAACATAAAAGAGAAGAGCTTGGCAAAAAGAAACGGGAAATGCTTATATTTGTGGCATGAGAGTACGAAGAGGGTTGGTACTGTGGATATTAAGCAGAGAAAGTGATTAAAATAACGTGATTTATTTTTTAAAATTTAAAAGATTTAGAAATCCCAATGAAATATCAAAATAACCAACATCAGTGGTCATATCACTTGGCTTATTATTATTCACATATTTGTGTATATATTTTATACTATCTATATATTAATATATTTCAAAAATAGGAATATTTAGACACATTTAATTTTACACAATGGGTATTTCACTCTCTGTTTTTCTATGTACATATGTATATATGTATGTATTTAGATATCCATTATGTTGTGAGAGTCATCCTGGCTGATAAACAGAGCTAACATTTACTTATTTTTGTATGTAAATGTGGCTAACATTTACTTACGTTGTGAGATTTATCCAGGTTGAAAAATGTAGTTAACATTTACTTATTTTCAATGCTGGATAGTATTCTGTTGTCTAAAATAAATCATTATCCTCTCATCAACAGACTTTTGGAATTTTTTCCTACATTTTTGCTAATATAGACACAGTTCAATGAATATTCTTTTGCAGGTGTTACTCAAGACTTATGAATAGAAACCTTTGTGTTTATACGGTATGTATATCTTCATTTTCAACTTCACCTCATATTGCCAAATAGCACTCAGCCAATATTCATCTCAGCCAGCAGTGTTTAAGAGTTCCTATTGTTCTTCATTTTGTCTGATAGTGTGACTGAAGTATGTGTTTGTTTTTAAAATAGATGTGGATTTTATTTTCTCAAATGATGGTTAAGGTTAAGTGCTCTAAAAAGTATGTATCAGCATTTGTTTTTATTCCTCTATGAATGATGTGTTGGGTTTGTTCATTTCTGTCTCTTTATGTATAGATTTCTAGAAATTTTACATAGTCTAAGTAATAGACTTTTCATTTATTATTCTGAGGCTGAAGACATTTTAATTTTAAGAGAAGATATCTTAATTTTAATTTTACCAAAAATATAACTCTTTTGATGCTTTCACGCTTGTACCTCTGTGGTTTACTTAAGAAACCTATCCCTAAACCAAGGGCGTAAATATACTCCACTATATTTGTTTCTAAAATTGAAAGTTTAGCTTTTCACGTGTAATTTTTTACCTTATTTCAAAACGCTTTTTGTGCATGGCTATGAGTTAAGTATTACATTTTGTTTTTTCATGTAATTGACCAATTTCTGCACCTGCATCTGCTGTTCACGTATTAAGCATTCATCAGTGATTTTCACGTCACCTCAGATGTATTTCTTCTACAGAGTACTTAATTGTCTTTTATTGACCATTTGTTTATTCCCTCCTAATCCTTCCTGGTATTATTTATTATAACTTTACAATAAGGCTTGTTACCTGGTACAGTAAGTCCCTCCATTTGGCTCTTATTTTAAGATGTCCCAATTTTAGCCATTTATTTATTTATTTATTTATTTATTTATTTATTTATTTATTTTTGATGGAGTCTTGCACTGTTCCCCGGGCTGGAGTGCAATGGCATGATCTCGGCTCACTGAAACCTCTGCCTCCGGGGTTCAAGCGATTCTGCTGCCTCAGCCTCCCTAGTAGCTGGGATTACAGGTGCCCACCACCACTCCCAGCTAAGTTTTTGTATTTTTAGTAGAGACAAGGTTTCACTATGTTGGCCAGGCTGATCTGGAACACCTGACCTCGTGATCCGCCCACCTCGGCCTCCCAAAGTCCTGGGATTACAGGCGTGAGCAACCGCGCCCGGTCTATTCTTCTTTATAAAACTGAAGATCAAAATGTCGAAGTTCTGTGAAGGGTTCTGTTGAAGTTTTCAGTGGAATTGAATCAAATGTAAAGATTAATATGGAGGCAGCTGACATTAATCATATTTATTTTTCTTCTTATTGATAAACACATTAGAATTTTCTATTGCAGTCTTCTTAAAGTCATTCAATAAAGTATTAGAATTTATTTTGTTAGATCTTTATACGGTCCTTCCTTGTTTTCCTCTCTCCTCCCTCCATCCCCCCCTTCCTTCCTTCCTTTTCTTACTTTCTTTCTTCCTCCTTTCTTCTCTTTCTTTCTTTTTTTTCTTTATTTAGCTAGTATAAATCATATCGCTTGCACCTTTTTTCTCTCCTTCGATTTAGAAAAGTTTTGAATTAGGACAACTCTTTTATGAGTCTAGGTAAGGGTCATTAACTTCACTGTGAGGAGGATAATGATGACTAGGTCAAAAGCTAAGGCAAGAAACTTGGAAAATCTGAAACCTCCCGAATCAAATCTTCACATTCAAGCTCAATTATAATTTTCCTTACTCCTTTACTCTTACCTTTTCTCCCAATTTCATCCTTCCGTTCATTCTTCTTTTCTTCTTTAGTTCAATTAATTTCCAGGTTATCAATTTCACATGCAGATGGAAACATACACGTTAATTCCAAATCAAAGGGTCTTATAACTAGAATTGTTATTTAATATTTAAGTGTCATTCTGTCGGAATTTTTCCATTTTGTAGAAAAATCTGAACATATTTGAATGTTTTCATATTCACTTCAGATATTTATAAAATCAATTTCCAGGAATGTGAATTGCCCAATGATCATAAGATTTTCATTGTTTTAAACATTTTACCATTTCAAAGGAAATAAGGCTTTATCTTCAATGGTCCATATCTTTTTAAAGCATATTGAATTTGTTTTTACAATCTTTGATGAACATGTGAAGCCATAATTAGAATGGAGCTTTACTCTAAAACTGATATTGGCAAACTATAGTGCATGAGCTAAATCTTACCCCCTTGCAGGGCAAACATAATTCTGTCCATAAATTACATATTGTCTATGCCTATTTTCATCCTGCAATAGCAAGTGTGACTACTAGCAACAGATACTGTATCTCCCACAAAGCTGCAGATATTTACTATCTGGCCCTTTACAGAAATAATTTTCCATGATTTTCCTTGGCATGCAATTTAGACTAGAGCAGAAGTAGATTTACACATTTTATTTAAACCAACTTCGGAAAATTGTAAACCTGGTGGCTGTGGTTTCACACAGAAAAATATCTGTACCAGCTTTTTAAATACTTAGATTCACAACAGCATACATTATGAATTAGACATTGAAAAATGGTGATTAAAAATGTTCTAAACTTTTTCCTGATTTTATATATGGATATGATGATTTTAGGTCCAACCTAACAATTCTTACTTTCCTGGTTTGAACTTCAGTCAGGTAGGTATGTTGAGTTTCCAGCTTCCTGGGGAGTGGCTCAGAATCCTGGCTTCAGGTAAACATTCTCCTCAGTTGTATCCCTCCAGGGTTATGTGGGGAGAAGGCAGAGGCTTCTTGTTCATGCCACAGTCTGGGTTGCCTCACTTTCCTGTGTGGCTTCCAGTTTTGACATTATCTAAATAACTAATTCCTCATCTAGCATTTATTTATTTTAAGAGAAATCTCTGTGCTTTTTTGTTTAATTTTAGAAATTGGTTGTTTACTGATACACTTTGGGGGAAAATCTGGAAATGATTTTGAACCAGTATGTGTGTTGAGGAGGTGTTGGCTACCTGCCTGGCAAAAGATAATTGGAAGTGGCAGTGAGTTATTATTGAAGTGGCCATGCCATTCTGGTGAGGAGTTCTTTTCTGTCACCACCATGAAAATATCATTCTACTGGCTTTTTGCTAAGAAGTCTGCTGTTAATCTCAGAGACTTTTTCAAAAATGCATTTTTTCCATGACTTGCTTTTGAGATCTTTGTTTTTCTTCAGTGGTCTACAGCTTTACTACAATATTTGAAGGTAAGTTTCTTTCTGTTAATCCTAATTGAGAGAAGCTGTGCTTTCTGAATGTAAATATTCACATCATTCATCAATTAAGCAAAAATCTCGATTCAATTATATGTATTCATTCTTTTATGCACATTCCCCACTTATTCATACATTTCAAAATGTATTATTCTTTTTGGTCAATATAGGGCATCTTTCTTGTTTTTTTCTTGCTTTAATTATCCTTATGTATTCACAGTTTGCAATAACATTTTTATAAAATAAGAGAAAATGAAGTTCAAATCATATTTTATATAAAAATATCTTTCTAATATGTGAACTATTTTTTGTATATGGAGATAATTTCTGTGCAAGGAATCTTTACTTATATAAATGACATTAAATTATGTAACCTTATTATATTATTTTTATTGTTCATTCAGCACTCTTTAAAAATTACCCTTACATGTGATATAGCTAGTTCATTTCTTTCTGATGCATTATAGTTTTTCAGATATGCATATATCACATTGTACATAGACAATCTCCTTGTGATTGTCTTCAATGAATAATTTCTACAAAGTATTTTTTACTCAATATCTATTTTATGTTCTCCTAATAGACCTCTGGGAAAATTTTTTTAAAATAGTGTACACTCAGAGTGCCAGATTGCACTCTTGTAATTTAGAGCGGGCGGCACAGCTACCAAAACTGCATGAAGCTTTCCATTTCCCTGTATTTCCACAAAATTTTGGCATTATCAGGTTTCTGAATGTTTGACAGGACAAAATATGTCAAGTTGTTATTTTATTATTGTTTCAATTTGCATTTTAAAATTAATAATGTCTGAGAACTTATTCCTACCTTTGTGAGTCTTTGAGGTTTCCTTTTTTGCTGATTTCTAACTCATATTATTATTTGGCTTTTAAGATTGTTGGCTTTTTCTTGTGGATATGCTGAAGTGTTCTATTATTTATATATTAAACACATTATCAGGAAAATGTAAGCCTAAGATAAAACTTATCTCTACAGTTTAGGCATTGGCATTTAGGTGGTGGCCTAGACAGATTCAAATGCTGTTTCAAAAACCCAGATGCTTTGACCTTAGAACGCTTAAGTCGAAAGTAAGATTTAGATAGTTATTTGTTTTTTAAAATAAATATTGTTACCAATGTTTGGCTGATTACTGAAGTGTATAAATAGATCGACATAGTTTTTGTTCCATTTGGACTTTAGGACTTTACTTTCTCTTATTTATATGCAGCTATTATGAATCTCATAATGTGGTAAGGAGGAACCATAATTTACAAGGAAGAATCATGATACTAAGTTTCCTTACTAATCATTATGATGGCAATTCTCAATTACAGGCTTATGAAAATGGAGCCAGTGGGAAATATTCAGAAATCACATACACACAAATAAGCAGACACATAAACATGATGTTTAATCTTGTCTTATTTTCTTTTTTAATTTTGTAATTTTGAAGTTTGGATAGTTTCCTTAAATTAAAAAAAAAATTGAACCACTGTACTTGGTCTAATTTGGAGACAAGCATATGATGACAAACTCATCAACTATTTGTACTCAAGTATGTCAACAAGCTGTTCAGAGAAATATAATATTTTATATAATTTAGATATAGCATAAATATATTTCAAAATTAACATATGGCTTTGGTTTTAAATAGAAACATTTTAACATATCTCACAATTATTTTAAAATTACATTTTACCTCCTGGATTAAATTTTGAAATTCCATGCAATCCTGTGAAAAATATTCTACATTTGCCGGAAGTGGTGGCTCACGCTTGTAATCCTAGCACTTTGGGAGGCCGAAGCGAGTGGATCACATGAGGTCAGGAGTTCAAGACCAGCCTGGCCAACATGGCAAAGCCCTGTCTCTACTAAAAATATGAAAAGTAGCCAGGCATGGTGGCAGGTGCCTGTAATCCCAGCTACTCAGGAGGCTGAAGCACAAGAATCACTTGAACCTGGGGGACAGAGATTGCAGTGAGCTGAGATCCTGCCACTTCATCACTCCAGCCTGGGCGAAAGAGTGAAACTCCATCTCAAAAAATAAGTAAATAAATAAATAAATAAAATAAATAATAAAAAATAAAAAGAAATGATGAGCAAGTGGCCCTAGGAAAATTATATTACAAAACTACACATAAAAAGAATTTGTTCATAAAGATAGTGATTCCATGATTACTATTCCTAGGAGAGAGTGACATCTTGACATAGCTAGTGCTGTTTAACATAATAAAATGGGCAAACTACATAAAGTTTGCATGCTACAATTGCCATTATTTTTCAAGATACCATTTATCTACTATGAGACTCAGTGTTCTACTTGCTCTTTATGGTTTTCAGTAATAATTGTGAAAACAATTATGAGATAATCATTCTATAGCATTTTCCACATGTCATGTCTCTGTAACCAAATCATAAAATATATTTATTTTTAGGCAGAAGATTTTGCATAAACTTGTTCTCTTCAGCTTGAACAAAGTTTTGGAGAATGTAACTGCATTATCTATCCATCAGTAAGTCTTTAATGCCAACATGGAAATAGTAATAGGAAAATTTAGGCAAATGTTAAGACAGTATACCTGGATAATACCAAATATCTCACAAGGCAAATAAAAATAAACGGATTCCATTATTCTTTTTTGGCATTGAATTTTCCAAGTTCAATGTTTCTCATAGCCTAAAAGACATCTCCAGATTTATCCAAAAGGCAAATATAAAGTTTTAGAAATAATGCCATTAAATTTGTTTTATAGATTTACTCTTCTTATGCATGTGTGAATATTTTTGAGAGCTGGTTATAATCATATTTGAATAAATTTTTAGAAATATCAAAACTATTTGCAATATATATTAGAAAGGGAGAAGATATTATGCTTTTAAATGCTTCAAATATTTTATTGCTTCAAATACAACACAGGCATAGCCATTTAAAAATAACATTTGTCTTTTTCAGGCCACGTGTGGTGGCTCACATTTGTAATCCCAACATTTTGGGATGTCGAGGCAGGTGGATATTCTGAGCTCAGGAATTTGAGGCCAGCCTGGGAAACATGGTGAAACCCCGTCTTTATCAAAAATACAAAAAGTTAGCTATGTGTGGTGGTGCACACTTGTGGTCCCAGCTACTCGGGAGGCTGAGGTTGGAGGATCTCTTGACACTGTGGGGCAGAGGTTGTAGTGAGCTGAGATCGCGCCACTGAACTCCAACCTGGGCGACAGCGTGTGACCCTGTCTCAAAATAATGATAATAATAACAATAACACTTGACTCTAAAAAAAAGTAGTTTAAATTTAAACTATGAATGGACAATAACAAATGTCTTAGAATAGTAAAAAATGTTATTCTTTAAAAATGTGAAGAGACATGATGTATTTTTATATTTTGTAACCTATAAACCTTCATCAAGTAAAACGCACTCATCTTTGTAACAACTAAAAACTTCTGTTAATAGGCATCTTCATGAAACTATAGTGCAATAAAATTCATCTGTGTAACTACAAGCATGAAGAAATAAAACAATTCTGATTTCACATCCTTCCAATTACTTATTGGAATAACTTGGGCAATTCAATAAACATTTGAGCCTTCACGGTTTTGAATGAAGCTCACCAAATCAGCAAGCACCTTACCTCTTGCTAAAAACTCAAGGCTAATTCCAACTTAAATCTTACTCCTGAACCTGTCTGGTCAGGCAAAGGAGAGAGAGAGAAGAATGAAAATGAAGAGAGAACTGAAAAATGTACAAATATGGGCAGTATATATAAAGTCCAGTAACCCAAACAGCTGCCTAGATAAATAAAGCAGGCCTGCTTCACCTTGTCCATTACAGGCAGAAAAAGAAGCCGAGAAGAACTCAGTTGTATGCCCCATGACTAGCTAGAAGTTGACCTAGGACATTCAGTTAATTGGTTAGTAATCCTAACAGAATCCTGACACAGGCTGCCACTCTGTGGTGCCCAGACATCCTTAAACACTCAAAAAGCTTTGGCTCTCTTCCCAAATCAGTGAATAGAAGCCTGTGCATTTCTCTCTGACTGCCAACAAACAGATCCTAGCACATAATAAAGGCAGCCGTGATGAATATCAAGCTTGCAAATATTTGATTGCCAAATCCTCTCCCCTTGGATAAAAGACATTATGAAGGAGCAAAAATATTATATCCAAGTCTCTCTTGAAAACTAAAAAAAAAAAACAAAAAAATTGTTGAAGTTCTCTCCTTAGTTCTCTCTCCAAGAGTTCTCCCCATTGTTGGTGGATATTTAGGTTGTTTCCCATGTTGGCTATTAAAAGAATGCTGTCAATGAACATTCATATATGAGTTTTTGTATGAGCATATGTTTTTATTTATCCTGTGTAAACACTTAGTGGTAAAATATTTGAATCACATAGTAAATATATTATTAACATTATAAGAAACAAACAATTTCCCAAAAGGTGATGCTATTCCGCATTCCCATTATGAATGCACAAGATTTTCATTTGCTTCACTTTCTTGTCAATGATCTGTCTTTTTAAAAACATTTTAATAAAATTCACTGATTTTAATTCACGCTGAAGTTTACCTAATAGGTAATGATATTAGCAACTTTTTATGATGTATTTGTGATCTGCATATTTTCTTAGAAAAGGATCTGCTCAAATCTGCCTATTCTGTTAATGGTTTTTGTTTTCTTATTATTGTTTTGAGAAGGTGTTATAAATTCTGGATAGAAGTTCTTTATTAGATACATTATAAATCTCCCAGTCTGTGACTTGTATTTTGATCCTCTTAACAGTGTTTTTGGAAGAGCCAAAGTTTTTAATAATGATTATTTACTTAATTTTTGTAATGAATTATGCCAGGGTCACAAAGATTTTTTTTCCTATGTTTTGTTATAAACTTTTTTCTAGTTTTAGGCTTTACTTTTAGGCCTATGATCTATTTTCAGATAATTTTTGTTATGCTGTGACATACGGATTTAAGATTCTTAATTTTTTAGCATATAGATATATCTATTTCAGTACCATTTATTGAAAAAGATATTCTTTTCCCACTGAATTCCTTTTGTACTTTTGTCAAAAATCAATTGCTTCGATATGCATGGGTATAAGAAATACACCTTCTAGACTGTTCCATTGATTTATTTGTGCATCTTGAGGTCAATATCACACTGTATTAATTACTGTAATTTTATAATAATGTTTTAAGTGGTATAAGTCCTTTAACTTTGTTCTTTTTTTTTCAAAGCTGTTCTGGATATTCTAAGGTTTTTCATTTTCATAAAAATTTTTAAATCAGCTGATTATACAAAAAAAGGGCTTCTGAGATTTTTTCATTGGCATTTTGTTGAATTTATAGATCAGTTTTGGAAGAACTGACATTAACTATATTATGAACATAGTATATTTGTGTATGTATTTAGGCCTGACAATCTCTTTCTGTGCCATAGCTATTTAAACCATTTAAATTTAATGTGACTTTCTTATGAATGAATTTATTTACATCATGCCTTTTGGTATTGGTTTTATACTTGTTTCTTCCATTTTTGTCCTTTTCTTCCTCTTTTACTACCTACTTCTAAATTAATTTATTTTTGTATCATTATTATTATTATTATTATTATTTTGTGAGACAGGGTCTCACTTTGTTGCCCAGGCTGGAGTGCATTGGTGTGATCACAGCTCACTGTAGCTTCTACCTCCCAGGATCAATTGATCCTCCCTCTTCAGCCTACCAAGTAGCTGGGACTATAGGCATGCCACTACGCTTGGCTAATTTTTGTATTTTTGGTAGAGCTGGGATTTTGCCATGTTGCCCAGACTGGTCTGTAAGTCCTAGGCTCAAGTAAGCCACCTGCCTCGGCCTCTCAAAATATTGAGATTACAGGTGTGAGCCACCACACCTGACCCAATTTAATATTTTTATTATCTCATATTATCTCTTTTTTGACTAGCTGTGCAACTTTATGTAATTTAAGTACTTGTTTTAGGATTGACCATATATACCTATAATTTATCAGTCTGCTTGCAAATGATATTATATCATTTCAACTAGGTCAAGATTCTTATAATATTATATTTCATCTTTACCCTTCTGGTTTTAGGAGATGGGTATCATGCATTTTATTACTAATGTGTTACAAATTCCACAATTGTTTTTATTGTTTTCATTGTTTTATTGTTTTATTGTTTTTATTATTGCTTTAAAAATCAATTGTATTTTAAAGAGATTCAAAGAGTAAGACAAAATGTCTTTATTGTTACCCTATGTTATCATTTCTTATACTTAATACCGTTTTCTTACTCTTTGAGAGCACAAAGTTTATTCTCCAAATTCCACTGCTATTGTTTGCCTTTGTCTCCATAACAAATATAACATCTTCAATATTGCATATTTCCCTTGAACTTGCTCAGGTTTCAGATACTTTTTATTGTTCTCTGATCATAGATATATATTTTCCTTAAGTTTTCTAGCTCCAATAATACCTTTGAAGCAATGCGGATTTTTTAAAATTGTTGTATGTTTGTGGGTTGTTCTATTGCAGTGGAATGGAATATTTGTATCTTGTTTTCATCATTAGTTTATTCAAGATCTAGTTGAATTATACCAGAAAGTCCCATAATGCTGAAAACAAACACAAAGCAAGATTTACAATTGCATGATTTATATATTTTTTCTTTGCACTTAAAATTTATAATATAATTGATCCCTATTTTTATATAAATGTAACTGGTTTGTCTGAGCATAGATTTGTGCTTTCAATAGTTCTCAGTCATGCTACTTCAGATGTTTGCCTATTATATAGCATTTCAGTTTTTCTTTCAATTCTCCCCCAGAATAGTTTGGTTATTTTCTAACCTATTTATCTTAATTGGTGAGTTTATGATACATAATCATCTAACATAAATGTTTAATTTTAATTTTAGTATTGTATTCTGGATTTTTATTACCTCTTTTCTCTTTGCTACATGTATAGCCTGTGTTGAATTTTCATTTTGTTAACCCTTAAAAGACTAGATATTAACTAAGCATTATTGAATTAAGCTATAATAGAACATATCTTGCATCTTCAAATGGCTTTGAAAACGCCTAGTTTATTTCAGTTCTTATAAATGTTAATTTTCTAATATAATTATCACTTTTGTTACTATTGTTAGTTTCTGTATTAAGACACTTTCTTACTTTGCCTGCCAAACTATTGTTTCTATCCTATAAGGTAAAAATACATGTTAAACTCTTTCAAAAAAATTGAATAAGACTAGGCAATAACAAACAATTGGCCATATAATGCTTTTTAATTACATGGAGTCAATATACATGACTATAAAAAGAAAATGATTTCTGAGAATATATTGAGTGCTTGTTTTACATAATATTTATGTGACATAGGGGACATTATAGGGAATTTTTAAATATATGTTTTACCTCAATACTCTAGCATATTCCTCTAAAGGAACAGGAGGAGTCTTTGACACATTACAGATTTTTTTTGTAAATGACTACTCTTTCTGTACATTGAGAAACATTGTCTTTCAATTTACAATGAATTAGGCAGTGGCAAAGATTTGAAATACAAAGATTTTTAAAATTCATCTACATGCAATAAAAACTGACCAAAGAAGGAAAATAGAAATACATATTACTATTATATGCCATTGGTTCTATGTGAGCATATTAATCTAACTTTCTGTTGTTTAAGAAGGAGAAAAATACACTTCTACAGATATAAAAATACTGTTATCATTAACAATATGAATTAAAACATAAATATATTAGCCCATTTATTAGACAAGACTATTTGATATTTGTCTCTAACAAATCTATATTCTTTTTTTACTAACTTAATATTATTGGCATGCCATTTTGTTGTACAGTTTAAGAAGATAAAAGACAATAAAAGCTATGTGTAAATAAAACCACTCTTACAGCATATAATGTCATGTCACAAAAGGTATATTTACTCCCAACAGCTTGGTATTTATGTGCTGTGATATAGAAATCTCTCAACATTATCTTTGTATGTATAGCCCCAGGTACTTTGCATGTCTCACAACATTACGAATGGATAACTGAATCTCCCAACTTAAAAGCCTTTGTGGAATTCATACTCTATCAGAACAAAGCATTAGTATTTGACATTTTAGACTAATGATTTTGGAAGAGAAGTGTACAATTATTCGATATTTCTTTATGTATTCTCCAATTCAGTAATCACATGGCCTTCAGTCACAAGATTCTGGTTCTGTGGGCATGGAAATATTGAAAGGAACAATTTTAAAAAATACTAGATGCCGTAATCTGAAAGTAATCTTCATAACTCTTGTAGTAATAATCATTAAGTATTTACGGTGAACTGCTTCTTCTACCATTCTTTGTTGGTGTTTTCTTTTTCTTTCTCTATTTTTTTAAATGAATCTGGAGGTTTGCCAAGCATAGCAAATGGACAAGCAACAGGAGATTGTTGTCAACACATGACCCGGCAGAGACACTAACATCTTTGAGCCAATGCCAACTGTGTTGCCATGAACACTGTTGGTTTTCTAATAGATGAGAATAAATAAAAGTTACTGATAGATCTGTTTTAAAGGTCACTTTGGATCTTCAGCATGCACTTAGATCATTTAAACTATTATCTGAAAGTAAAAATGTTACCATTCAACCCTTCTTCTGTAACTAATATTTCGATCCTTTACATTGAATTCTGTTAATAAATCCTCTACTCTCAATGAGATATGCTATAGTTTGGGTTAAAAGCTTGCGATTTTTTTCAGTTCTTTGATGTTGATATTTATAGTGATGTTTTGTGTTTCAGTTTGTTTGGGCAGTTATAATAGAATACAATAGAGTGGGTGACTTATAAACAAAAAAATATTAATTTTACAGGTTGAGGTGTTGGGAAGTCCAAGACCAAAGTGCCAGCGGATTCGCTATCTGTCGAGGATCAACTTCCTGATTCATAGATGGCTTTAGTCTTGCTTTAACTTTGATGGGAGGGTGAATGAACTCTCTGGGCTTCTTTTATATTGGCACCAATGCAATTTATGAGGGTTGAGCTATCATGATTTAATCACCTCTGAAAGGCCCCACTTTTAATACCATCACTTTGAGAGTTAGGATTTCAACATTAATTTTGGTCGGACAAAAATATTCAGTACATAGCAGTTTATAAAACACTGATGATAGTAGATAAATGGTGATTTGTATGTTGTTCCTTTTTATTCACTAGCTAGCTAACTTTTTATAACTACAGTAACAAAAAAAAACTCATTAAATCAAGTTTTTACCTAGAAATGCCTTTTAAAATTAAATACAAATTTTAATTATCAGTATTTATTTTTAACTTATACTTAATATTATCTAGTGTTGGAAATTAGAAATCTAACTGGTTCTTCCTTAACTGATGCCTAAATCATTTATGTAATGTCTGGAATAGAGTATTATATAGAAGAAGAAAATAGATTAGTGGTTGCTTAAGGGCTATGAAGTAGAGTGAGAAGATAAGGAGGTGATAACTAATGTGCATGGGGTTTATTTTTGCAGCCATAAAAAGAGTTGTAACATTGACTAGCATGATGACTGCACATGTCTATGATACACTAAACATTATTAAATTCAATGCCATAAATAGGTGTTATATGATATTTGAATAATAGCTCAATAAAGCTGTAAAAAACAAACAAGAAACTATTTTTTAGCCATATTTGAATAAAGAATGGCTACATATTCTCCAACATTTTCTTAAGTCTATTTTGTGCTGCTATAACAAAATTTGTGAGACTGGGTAATTTGTAAAGAACAGAAATTTATTTCTTACAGCTGTAAAGTCTGGAACATCCAAGATTGAGATGCCAGCATCTGGTGTCCAGTGAAGGACTTTGGCAGATGGCAGAAGATCAAAAGGGGTGATAACCCTTCTGCAAGCCCTCCCATTCATGAGGGTGGAGCCCTCATTACTCAGTCACCTTCCAAAGGCCACACTTCTCAATTCTGTTGCATTAGGAATTAAATTTCAACATGAATTATGGAGGGAACAAAAACATTCAAACTATAGCAACTACGAAGCTCAACTAGAGCATTCAGTTGATAAGAAGTTGGGTGGTGTCCTAGTTCAATGATGAAAGTTAAATGCTTTGAGAGAAAAGAGAGAAACAAGAAACTCCCAAATGGAAATGTGCCAGAAAATAAGACATTGTGTTAAATTTATTTATTTTTTATGATGCAAATAGATTTGTACAATATCTTAATGTATATTTGTTCAGAGTGTTTTGTAAAATTGATATTATTTGGAAGGTGAGAAGAAGCTTTAAGAGAGGAAGCAGAGAGGTAGATGATAAATTGGTGATACATATCATTTTTAGAATAGAACAGAATATTTTATATACAACAGTTTACTATTGTGGTTTTTTCTAAGTGGTGAGATTATAGAAAACTTTGTTTTTTAGTTTGGTTTATCTATGATTTTAATTTTTTTCTAATGAATACATGTAAATTGGGAAATGAAAATAAACACACTTAATACTTATTTTGTATTAAACTCCCTAATATTTTTAAACGTATTACTTTCTTTAGACTAGAAAGGTAGAAAAACCCCTAGGGGAAATGATTTTTTGGAAATAGGTGACAGGGAATGTCATACTTAACTCAGAGCAAGAAACCATAATGTGGATTGTAATCTGACTTCAGCATTTACTAGTGATAAGACGAAGAGCGATTTAGCCTTTCTGTGCCTCCTCTTTGTCTTCTAAAAGTATTGTCTACCTTATAAGGTAGAAATACTTGAAGTGATTCAGATAAAGCCCTAGGAATCATGCCTGACATTTAGTAAGTACTCAGTATTAGCTATTATTTTGAACAGCAATTTTCAAATATGTGATGGGGCTGTCATGTAAAAAAGAAAATACTTATTCTATTTGGGTTGGAGAAAGAATATTATCAAAAACATACCATGTTAGAACTGTACAAAAATATTAATATCTAACTATTACAGCACCAAATTAGAATTTGATGTCTCAGTATATTAATGTGATGGTATTAGGACTTTCAAGAGATTATTGTAGCATATTTGTGTCAGATAATTTTTAGGCTTGATAAATTCTAAGATTCCTTGTAAATCTTGAATTTTTTGCAGACACTATCCTCCAGTGTCTTGCCTTCGATTCTATAGATGTTTGGTTAAAGACGTTGTCATTCCAGACTGATTTGATTTTAGGGAATTAGATCTCCTAGCTTGACAAATGTAGTGAGAGCAAGAAACTTGACCTATTACACATATTCACAATATGTAAGATATTTCTGCTATATTGTAAAATATTTAATAGTAAGTCATCTGTTACACCGTAAAAGGTTTCCTTCTGGGAGTGGGTGTGCAGTTTAAACCAGATTCTAATTAGCTTAAAAAAAATCCATTAAGTCTTTAGTTCCACTGTTTTAGAATAAGGGGGTCAATTAAAGAGTCAAGATTTAAAATTCAAATTAAATTAACTGTGCTCTGTGAAAAGATTTCTATTCATAACCTCCTACAAGATGTGAAAAGGCTTAACCTCCTTGAATTATTCCCCCACTGCTTGATACCTGTTTAAGGAAATTCATTTTTAAATTTCTGATTACTTTCTGATTACTACTATACAGCTTATACAGGAAACACATTTAGGAGACTTTCTATGTATCCGCTTGATGGTAATTAGTGTACTATTTTGTGTTTAAGGGAGAAGGACTGAAACTTACATTCGAGTCAAATAAAATGGTTTTGAAATAAATGATAATATTTATTTTGTTAATTTAACAAATTATATAACACAACACACACACACACACATTCTTTATATATACAATTGACCCTTGAACAATGGAGGGGTAGGAAAACTGGTTCCCATGCCATCAAAAATCTGCACTTAGGCTGGGAGCGGTGGCTCACGCCTGTAATCCCAGCACTTTGGGAGGCCGAGGCGGGTGGATCACAGGGTCAGGAGATCGAGACCATCCTGGCTAACACGGTGAAACCCCATCTCTACTAAAAATACAAAAAATTAGCCAGGCATGGTGGTGGGCGCCTGTAGTCCCAGTTACTCCGGAGGCTGAAACGGGAGAATGGTGTAAACCCAGGAGGCGGAGCTTGCAGTGAGCTGAGATCGCGCCACTGCACTCCAGCCTGGGCGACAGAGCAAGACTCGGTCTCAAAAAAAAAAAAAAAAAAAAAATCTGCACTTAACTTTTGACTCCTCAGAAATATAACTATGAATAGTCTTTTATTTGACCAGAATCCTTACTGATAACATAAATAATTGCTTAACACATATTTTGTGGGTGTATTACATTCTGTGTTCATAAATCAATGTATGCTAGAGAAAAATGTTTTAAGAAAAATCAGAAGTACTAGTACTAGTTAGCTTTAAGAAAAATGCTAGTTAGCTCTAAGAAAAGTATTTTAATTTTTAGTTATATCTCAATAAAACCCAAGTAGATTAAAAATATCTAAAGCACTATTAAAAATATGGATAACTATTTATCTGATCCTACTGTTAAAAAAACCTTATCAACTTTAAAACAAAGAAAGTGTTCAGAATTAACATTGGTGAGGACCAGGGGTAGGAAGCTCCATAGACTGATGGAGTCATTACTCCAGGAATGTCACAGAACATTTGTATAAATAAAATGACTATTAAGGTTAGGGAGAGAAGAGAATTCACTACTACAATAGATCTAAAGAGGGGAAAGTTGCAACATACTGTAGTGAATACAATAGTCTTATCTCAGAAAAAAATTTTCCAAGCACATTAGTTTTCTTAGTTCATATTCTCTAGAAAAATATGTCCTGAGGCAAGATTTACATGCTATAACTTTACTGGTCAGTGAGGTCACAGGAAAACAATATAAGGGGATTATGAAAGTGAGGCCAGAAAGGAAATTGGGAAAATACAAGGATACAAGGAGATGCATTACTGAAATAGCTTCAGTTCCTGACAAGCACAGTTGGTGGTTCACACAGTCTCAGTAGGAAACCTCAGAGGACTATATGAAATAGTGAGTCTCTGAAAAAAATCTGTTGTGCAGGGAAAGAGATAAGACTTCATCTGCCTGAACCTCTCTTTTGTACTTTTATTTCCCATTGATCCAAAGTTCATGCCATAGGCCATCAACTCTTCCCTAAATTTGAGTGTAGCTGCTGGGACTGTCTGGGATACTATCACATAGTTAGAAGCCAAGAGAGCAGTAGCAGCATCATGGTGCAGACCACACACAGTACAAGAAGGTCACCAAATCCCTGCCTGCCCTCCTGTAGTCACACAGCCAATGGATCCATGTGCATGTTGCAGCTATAAAATTTGAACAATTAAAAAAAATAGCTACTATCGGCACATGTCAGTTGTAGACTCTATGGGATACATACAAAACATCAATCAATATCTTTTCATTAAAAAAACAGCAGTTTAGTTATAACTGCAAGAAACAGAAAGCCTTAATGTTGCCTCTTAGAAAATCAGGGTGCTTTTTTTAATAGAATAATAAAATCAGGCAAAACCAGGGCTGCTACTGATTGAATGACTCGACACTATTGTGGCTAACATTTCTATGATTATTTTCCTCAGGTTTGCTGTCTCCTTGTTTCCTGAAAGCTGCTTCAGTCAGGTATCAGGTTGACCTTAAGTTAGAAAGGGAAGAGGATAAGGGAAAATTCATGTCATTTCCTTTCTATCAGGAAAACACAGCTTAAGAAGAAACCTCAGCAGATTTCTAATGTGTGATGGCAAATGCATAAGCTATATGTAAGGCAATTAGGAAGGTGGCACATAGCTCCTCTCTCAGGTTATCAAGGAAAAAAGCAAGAAGGAACATTAAGATACCCAGATGACAATATGTGCCACAAAAATAAATTGATTTACATCATTTTATATATGTTTTTGAGAAAAATGGATATCCATGCTTAATCATGTGTTTTAGGACAAAGCTATAGATTTTAAAGTACTCATCTTCCTTTTAATTTAGAAAACATCAAAAATTAGAACAAAGCAAATTATTAAGAATATTATTAATAGCCTTCAGGCTTAGCATTCTCCAAGGACTCTCACACTATTTAAAGACTACAGGCATAAATCACTAGACCGTACAATACTAAGTTACTAGACTTATTTAATAAGCCTTAGATCAATAAAAGCAAGTAAATGTTAAGACTCCAATGGAAACAACAAGAACCCATTTAAACTCTATATTCTTCAGCTATTTTCCCTATGAGTCTTGAGGGGCAGACTATTTTAACTGTAGTAGCCAGCATCAGTTCTCCATTTTAACAGCAATTTGCCCTTTCAAAGAAACAATAGCTTCAAAGAGATTGAATCAAATATTTCAATTGGCTGGCATGGATCACTTGTTCAGAAATAGCCTTCAACGTCATGTTCTCCATCTCCCTCTTCCTTATACTCACTCTAATCTGGTGGACACTTGCCTATAAATGATTTAAATGTCCTGTAAAAGTTAAGCAATAAAAGGCAGCTAAGTAAAATAAAGCTATCATGTCTCTTTAGACAGAAATAAACTGGCATTCAATCTATTTTCTTGAACTACAAAATATTTGTAAGTAATTGTCACTGTTTAAAAGATTTTGGCCTCTTATGTTACTCAAAATGGATAATGAGCAGAATGACTATGAAACTAGAAAATAACTGGCTTAAGAAAATAATTTTAGGCACCGTTTGTTAAAATTCTATTATCATGTGTTTAGAGAGCAGTTATGGTTTTTAACCAGGCAAATTTCTGAAAAAGAAGAACAGAAACAACTTAATGTATCCACAAACATTATGCTGAAGATTGGTAACTCATTGTTTAGAAAACATGGGTGATCTACATGCTTCTGTGGTTGTCCATATTGCCAATCTTGAAAATGTAGACCAAGGTGACTTTAAACAAAACAGCATTTACTATCTGATTATGCTGTTTTTCTAAAAAAATTGTCTTATGTGCTTTCCTTTTAGTGGGTACCAATGTAGCATTTCCTATTTTCTACAAAACAATTCTAATCTGGATGTATTGTGTAATTGTTTTATTAAGTTATTGGTAAGGATTTCATTATGCTTCTTTATATATATTATATCCTGGATTATATTCAATTACTATTTAGCTGTCAAAGGAATTTGGTCTTAAATTAAGTTTACCTCGGTAAGTTTCTATTGCAAATGATTTTCTAAAAGGGGATTTCATTTTTTAAAATAGACATTTAATAATTTCTTTTTTTATTGCAATGAGAATCTGTTTATTTTAGCAATGCAATTTTGAAGAGTTACATGGATTTTTAAGTTGGTATTTTAATGTTCCTTGGATATTATGAAGTCCCAAAGAAAATATGAAGACCAGAATTTGTATCTCATACTATTTAAAAATTGAATATAAACGTGCTTTTGGTATACTCAGGACATATACACTTATGTATATGTTTATATATAGCATTACTCATATTATTATGAATTTTAAAGGTATAAAATGAAGTATTTATTTTCATGACAAGTGTTTTAAAGAAATCATAATGTAAAATGAAAATGTGATGTTCAACAATCTAGTTAAAAAATGAAGTAAATCAAGATCCTATATGGTCTTTAAGTTCAAAGAAAAAGATCCCCTTTGAAATTTGACTTTCATTTTTTCCGAGTTTTTTAATACAAAAAAGCAAATAGTCACTAGGTTGTTTAATAGCTTTTGGTGAATGGTCATATATTCACAAAAGTTATGAATATAAAAGATATTTATTTCTGCTCTCATTTGAGATCTTTCCATCTTACTCTGAAATAAAATGTTAGAATTTCCATTTTGAAAATTAGAAAAAATCTTAATTTTTACTCATACAACTGATAAAATGTTCTTGTAAATTATCATTGAGTATAAATGATCATGGCAATGTTTGCTATAAATATTGGATACAATTTAATATATATGTGCATATATAACATAGTGATTAATATTATTAGCACAAGCAGGACATTTTTCCGCTTTAAATTCTGGTTCCGTCTTTTAGCTGTGTGTACTAAAACATGCTGCCTGACCTTTTTTTGTGTCTTTGGTTCCGTATGTGTAAAATAGGGATAATAAGTGGACCTGCCTCATAAGATTATTATAAAAATCAAAGGATCCAATATATGTTAAGCATTTAGAACTATTTATGACACCAATCACTCAACAAATATTTGCTATTATTTTCCCTTGTGGCATAGACCATGCATATATGCTTTGACTAAATTACTGCTTAAAGTTTCAGTACTGGTATTAGTGCTTTTCACGTGTTCTGTTATATTCCATATGTCATCAGCATTTCTGTTTGTACAGATTGGAGGGCATCTTTAGAGCAGTGTCCTTTAATTTCATTCTGCGCTACTTGGCACCGTTGTAATCATTAACATATTAGATTCATCTCAACTCTTTTCTTACCCGCTTGTTTGTGCCAGCTTTATTGCAAACACAAACACAAATGCAAGTACCTCTTTCTTGTAACAATAACATGCTAAAGAAGTTTTGCTATTTCTGTAGTCTATGTTGATGTCCTTTAAGATCATCCCAAAATAAAACATAGCAATAAAATAAAATATCAGAGAATATTTTCTGAGGCTTCCAAAATTGTTTCATAAAATTCACTTTTGAAAATGTTTCAACAGGAATTTCTGTTTTGAAATGTTTGTACAAGTTGCCTAAGTCTGCATTATTTATTATTATTACTGCGTACCAAACTGTTTAGATCATGGTATAACCAGTTAACTTGTGTATGCTACACTTGAGATAAAGCAAATTGTTGACACCAAACTGACATAATATGTCCACAACTGATAACTCAAACAAAATATTTCTTTTTTGTTGCTAAGTTTATAATTCTGAGTATTCTGATAATACACTGATTCTATATAAAAATTTCTATAATGATAATTGTTTTTGTAGCGATGCAGTCTTCCTGTGCTGCCCAGGTTGGTCCCAAACTCCTGGTCTTAAGTGATCCTCCCTCTTCAGCCTCCCAAGGTGTTGGGATTACAGGCATGAGCCACCATGCCTGGCCAAAAATTTCCATGACTTTTCTCATTACTGTAGTGATTTAAACAATTCACTTATATCTCAAATATATGGCTCAGGATTTAAGTATTTTTAAAATTTTAACGGTATACAAATATGAGAAAAAATAAGATCCAAAATGAAAATAATCATTTATAATGTATTTAATAAATGTTATTTATAAGTACATAAGCTAAAATTTATTTACTTAATGAGATATAATAACCTAGACTGCTTTAAATGAGATACTGTTTGTTAATCATTATATAAATGGTTGTCACTCCTCTAAGGAAATCAGGAAGGGACTTTTTTTTTTTTTTTTTTTTTTTTGAGATGGAGTTTTGCTCTTTTTGCCCAGGCTGGAGTGCAATGGCACAATCTCGGTTCACTGTAACCTTCGTCTCCCGGGTTCAAGTGATTCTCCTGCCTCAGCCTTCCGATTAGCTGGGATTACAGTCCTGCACCACCCTGCTAATTTTGTATTTTTAGTAGAGATGGAGTTTCACCATCTTGGCCAGGCTGGTCTCCAACTCCTGATCTCAGGTGATCCGCCCACCTCGGCATTCCAAAGTGCTGGGATTACAGGCGTGAGCGACTGCACGCGGTCAACATATTTTTATATAATGAAGCTTTAAGACCTGGAGGAGAAATAGATTCACTACTTTTATTCTGCATAATGAAATAATCCTATATAAATGTATAATTATTTCTTCTTAATTATCTTGGCATTGAAAAAACAGAAGGTTATGTGTGTAATAAACTCCTGCATATTAAGTTGGAATCCACTGCTTATCTTGCTTGCTATCTCATCATTATTCTCTTACCCAGTTTCTGCCTTTCAGTCAACATTATCTGCTAGGAGTAAACTCTTCATTCTCAAGTAGAGTACTCTCAAAATGCTGTCTTTTTTACAAATAATCTGCAATTGTTTAGAACTTAAAAGATAATCTAAATATTTGTGTTCTTTATCTGTTCTTAATCTCTCCCCCAAAGAACCTTCCATACAAAGTAACCTGTCAAAATTCTCAGTTCAAAAAGTAAAGTTCTCCAGGTTTTTAAGAAGTTCTTTTTGATGCATTCGAGGCTTTCAAAAACTATTTCCCCCTTTCCCTCAGATGAGTGGTTCCTTTAAATTTTAGCTCTCTCAGAATCTCCTACAGAGCTTATAAAAGCACAGATAACTGTTCCTCTATCCAGAAGTTCTCATTCAGTAGCTCTACGACAGAGCCTGGTAACTTACCTTTCTAACAAGTTCCCAGGTGATATGAATGGTCTGGGTGCACACTTTTGAGAGGCACGAGTCTAAACAAATTGTGAGTTACAACCAGTTTCTCTGAATTGTCATACTTAACACTCCTTTGTCCTAAAGCTATTTCAACAGTTAAAAAATAATAATTTTATATATGTGTTCCATATATGCCTTTATAATCTTGGTGTTGTAATTTGCAGGGCCAACTTTGTAAATATCTCTTATTGTTAGGACCAAAAAGTATCATACACAAATTAGATACAAAGCGAATAACTGCTATTCCTGTTAACGGTGGTGATTATTGAGTTATTTAAAAATATTTGGCAGGCAAAATACAAATCCTCTAGCATTTTTACCTTATTCATATATTATTCTTCAAATGACTATAAAAATGTTTTCTAGAATATTTTATTTATTTCCAAAGCCAATGAATTTTTCATAAAAAATTAATCATGTTTTAATTTCTTTCTACTTATACTGTGAAATTGATGTTTTTAATAGCTTTTTGCTGTGTGAATGCCCTAATGCCAATGAAGGTCTGTGAAGCCTTTAACCTTTTGGACATCACAACTTCTTCTAAGCAAAAAGAAAACAAAAGCAAGTAGAAAACATGCGTTTTAAAAAATTGTTGTTGTTAGTGTACATTAACTTGTGAATGGAATGTTTAAAATAAAACGTAAATTTTGAAAATTGCTTTCTCTATTATAAAAGCCTATGTAGTATTTGGGAGCACAGTTAATAAATGGATGCAATAACTTAAATCCCTAAAACAAAGTAATGTAGACTAACAGATGAAATAAAGAGAAGGGGGTAGAAACATCATCTCCCTCTCTTCACTAACACATTGTAGAAACCTGGAAAAGTCAATTAATTTTTCAGGGGCCCAGATTTATTTTGATAAAATGAGCTAAAGGGTGGATTTCATAGTAAGTTAACAGTACTAACTAAATCTTAAGATCGCTGGAATAAGATTAAGAAGTAGCTCCATGCTTTATAAGATTAATCTCCCAAATCATGGCATTTTTCTTAGGGGAATATAGTCAGAATAGGAAAAATTATATTTGTGAAATGTAATATGAAAATATGAATTATATTGCAAATTGCTCCATTACTTTAAGGAAGTAAATGAAGCTTGATATCTGTAAAAAATGCAACTAGGTAATTAATGCCACATGCTATAACTACAAATTCAAAACATGTCTGTTTGTAGTCATCACTATTTATTAAATTTGCTTCCATAAATCTTATGGCAACTGGCATAGGCAACTGATCAGTTTCCTTTGTATTCACAATGAGAATGGTTTGCTGCCTCTATATTGATATATTAATGCAAATAACAAAATTAAAAGATTTTCTTTTTGTGATAGGCAGAATTCCTAAGTTGCCTTTGCCACTTTCAAGTTTCTCAACTCCGGGTTATTCAATCAAACACAAATCTAGGCTGTGTTATGAAGGGCCTTTGCAGATGTAATTTTATATACCAATCAACTGACCTTAAATTTAGAGAAATTATTCTGAATTATCAGGTGTGCTCAATGTAATCACAGGAGCACTTAAAAGCAGAAAAGAAAGAACATTTAGAGAGATGCAACAGAGGAGGAAGGCAGAAAAGAGTGAGGTAGAAGAGGACATCATAGATTTTTAATGCATAAGGAGGAGTTGACTAATCATTGCTGTTATTAAAGCTGAAAGAATATCATAAACCTTGAAATATAGGTTGCCTCTTAAAGCTTGGAATGACCCCAACCAGTAGCCAGTAACCAAAGGGCACTGTAGTCCTACAGCCACAATGGTACTGAATCATGCAAACAGCTCTAATGAGTCTGGAAGTAGATTCATGCCCAGATCTTCCAGAAAGAAACACAGGCTGCTGGCACCTTGAGTTTGGCCTTGTGACAAACAAAGTACCAACTGAGCAATGATGTCCCTGGACTTTTGATGTACCAGACTGTGGGATAATAAATGGGTGTTGTAAACTGCTAAGTTTGTGGTAGTTTGTTGTGGCAGCAACAGAAAACTAATGCTCCATCCTATTTGCCTAGTGATTATTGTCAAGCTTTTCATTGATAAGTACTGGAATGTGTGCATATATATATATATATATATATATATATATATATATACACACACACACACACACACACATATATACACACACACTCGCATACAGATATACACACACATACACTTAAGTCCTCAATGTCATCGATAGGTTCTTGGAAACTGTCACTTTAAGTAAAATGATGTATAATGAAACCAATTTTACCATAGGCTAATTGATATAAATGAGAGTTAAATTCCTACCATATATTTCTGCATACAAAGACACCACCAAGCTTTAAAATAAAGGGCAAAATGCTTCTAATTTTTTTCTTTTTTCTTTTTTCTTTTTGAGATCCGTCGCCCAGGCTGGAGTGCAGTGGCGCAATCTCAGCTCACGGCAAGCTCCGCCTCCCGAATTCACGCCATTCTCCTACCTCAGCCTCCCAAGTAGCTGGGACTACAGGCGCCCGCCACTACGCCCGGCTAATTTTTTGTATTTTTAGTAGCGACGGGGAAAATGCTTCTAATTTTAAACATTGAAATAAATATGAGCTATGCATACATTTAAAAACATTAATAAAAATAAGTAAGATAATTTACTCAATAATTCCAGTTCAGAGTCACAGGTGGATGAAGCCTGTGCTGGCAGCTCAGGACATAAGGCAGGAACAAAGCCTCGACAGGATGCATCCAGGGCGCTCACACACACACCCACATGCAGACAATGTAGATAAGTCAATTCATCTAATGTACATATCTTTGGGATGTGGGAGAAAACTGGTGCATCCAAAGAAAAACCTATGCAGAGATGGACAGAACATGCAAGCTCTACACAGACAGTGGCACTGATGGGAACTGTTTGTTGTTGTTGTTGTTGTTCTTTTTATTGCTCAATGTTGTCAGGAAACTATGTTGAACAAACTGATGTTATTGAGGGACTTGTTCTCTCTCTCTCTGTGAGTGTTTGTGTTTATGAATTTCTACAGTTTTCTGATTATTTTTACTCAGATACTTAGAATAAGTAAGTGGAGACAGTGAATATTAAATTATTGTGACAATATTTTTCTATCAATTTAACATGTACTGTAGGCGTGTTATGAAGTCTGAAGCTCATTCAATAAAAATAATTCACAGGAACATGAGTTTCTATAAGAGGTGTTATTAAATGACAAAATATAATTTACTACAAAAGTTACAACCAAAACAGCTTGGTTTTACATATATATATGTGTGTATATATATATACAGATACTTGAAAGAATATTCAAGATCACTGGATAATTATGAAATTATGAAAGACAAATATAGATGATACATGGATGACAAAATGTTGATAGGCTGACAGAGTAATAAAAAATTATCAAATGAGTCTTAAGCAACAACAAAGATTTCCACCAATTATAGAGCACCTACTTTGGCCAAGAATATGTAAGTATCACAACAGTCCCATGTGATTGATACTATTCATCTAATTTTTAACTAGTCAAATTTTGAACTAATGTTTAAACTAGTATTTCCATTATGCTTCAGAGACTGAATGTTAATCCCCGTGTGTCAAACACTACTAGTTATCCTCCAAAATTCATAAATCCTCTTCCATTCTAAGAACGTTATAGCTGTGTACGTGGTGTTCAATTGGAGATGATATAAAATACAATGTTGCATTGTACAAAGCTAGATATTGTCTCCAGAACATATATATATATATAAATATAATAGCAAGTATTAGCCTAAAATTATTGTAGTACAAGATAATCTAGTTTGAATTTCAGAGGCCTTGAAAATTATGTATGTTTTATAAGAATCCCTACTATCTTGGGCTATCAGGGATTATCTCATAAATTTTAACCACTTTTTTTCCTCATGAAACCATAAGAAAAAAATAAAAATCAATAGGCTACTGTAGGCTCATTGGGCCTCCTTAAATTGAGCAGGAATTTTATTTTAAGTCATTAAGACCATTGACCATATAGTTTAAAACAAAGAGACAAACAAACCTGAGTATTCACATCAGCAAATAAGTGTAGTTATAGTAATATGGACACTTCTATATAGGTACTGTTTTTACCCTCAACATACGATTTTATTGCTCAATGATAAATACTTGATTTGGAAAAATATCAATCATAAATAATCAGTAACACAGTAGCTTTTTTACCAAACCAGCAACAAAGAAAACAAACCAAATAGCAATCAAATTGTTATGTGATTTTAAGCATATGTTTTGCAATGTCAATTTCTGAAACTATGCTGTCTTTGCCCTAAGCTTATCTTTCAATTCATGAACACACTGCTGAGAAAACTACTTCAAACATCTTTGTGTCTGAGCTGGACCATTGCTGTTGTGCACATATATACAAAATACACGTACTAACACATATTACACATCTCACAGCTCCCAAGATGTCAGTTAAAGAAATTGTGCATTAAACAAATACCAAAATTCTTCCTGAAATCTCAAGACAGTATCACATTGCTACACACAGTAAAACAAGTAGTGAGATATTTTCTATTTTTCCCTTTTTGTCAGCATATAATGCTTATTCATTTATGATGATTCAGGGATGATAACAATAAACAGTATAATATGAACAGCAAAATTTTTATGGAAAACTCTTAAGATAAAATATAGACATGGACCTTAATCCAGTTGAGGAAATCTATCCCTTTCAATGTTTGCTCTCATCGTCTATTTGAAAGTATTTTTATATAATGCTTGGGATTTCTTACTCTAGAATTATTTGGTCTCCTGTGAATCATGCAGAGATTTTATGCCAGAAGAACACAGACAGCAGGAAGACATTATTCCTGGGCCAAGTACCATTCTGAGTGTTTCTCTTTGTTTCCTGGTAACAAAGCTGAGCCAAATGAGGCACAGAAGTCATACACAAAATACTGAAATATCTTTTTCTTCAGTAAACAAGGACTAAAATTGAAGAAATAACCTCCACAAAGTCTCAATATTCCCTACTGTTAGACTTTCTATCTGGAATAATATCTGGCCTTCTCGGTTTACACATGCAATCAAAAGTAGGAGATACTTGTTTTACTAAGGTGGGCAAAAAGGTATGCTCAATGGACTAGATATTGTTTTCATTGTGAAGTTTAAGCATCCATTATGGAACTTCTAAAGGTGCTATGTCTTCTTTTCAGTCTTTTCTACAATATATTCTCTATTCAAGGCTCAAGATTATTCCCAGAAGCATTAATGAGACAGAATATGAGTGTTCATTTGTAAGAAACAGTCATGCAAAAAAAGCAAAATTTTTAGTTTTGGAGGAAAAATGCAATTTGATTATGTGCTTATGTTTTCAGTATTCATTCTTCACTTTTATTTTTTTATTTTTTATTTATTTTTTTAATTTGAGACGGAGTTGCACTCTGTTGCCCAGGATGGAGTGCAGTGGCATGATCTCGGGTCACTGAAACCTCTACCTCCCAGGTTCAAGTAATTCTCCTGCCTCAGCCTCCTGAGTAGCTGAGATTATAGGTGTGTACCACCACGCCTGGCTAAGTTTCGTATTTTTAGTAGAGACGGGGGTTTCACCATACTGGCTAGGCTGGTCTCGAACTCCTGACCTTGTGATCCACCCACCTCGGCCTCCCAAAGTGCTGGGATTATAGGCATGAGCCACCGCGCCCAACCATTCACTTTTATTATCTGTATAGTTATTGAAAAGGTAATTTAAAGAATAATTCTAGAGAGTCCATTTTTTCACCAGCTAGTCATTCAAGCAAAACAAACATTGTTCATTAGATTAGCAAAATGAATTATTCAGTATATACATTGACACCAAAGGAAGAAAGGTATACTGATCTTAAATGTGCTCTCACATTTCCTTCATGCTACAATATATAATATAATGTAATGGCTTATTATTCTATAAAAAGCAATTCAGGTCAATGCCTATTTGCTTTATCCAAAACTGTCACCTTTTGGAACAAAATATAACTTTATATTTTTATCTGCTGCAAATATACTCAATTTTATTTTAAAATGTCTACTAAGAATTATAGCAAAAAAATCACATATACTTTCCTCACAAACAAAGATCAATTGTGACTAAAACTTCTGGGTAATTAATACTTGACACATATAGAGTGGCAATGAGCTGAC